>NT_187519.1:151943-303886 GCF_000001405.40 Homo sapiens
GAATCACTTTTTCCCCAGCCCTACTCACTGAATGGTTCCTCCTTTTCTTACTTATGGAATATGCTGCTTCTGCCACATGTTAAAATTTATAGTTTACTTACTTCATCCCTGCTCCAGGTTCTCCGCCTTGTAATTGTTAAGTGATCGGGAGGCTCTGCTGCTTGAGGTCTTGGATCACCAGATCGACCGTTGTTTCCTTCTGGTGTTTTGGAATGAACTAATGGAGGAATCTTTCGGAAGTTGAGGCTTTCATCAAAAACACGATCAACCAACTAATGGGACGAAAGCAAACCTTTATGAGAACACAGTAATTTGAAAAAGTACCAATATTGGCATTACAATTTTTATGATTAGACAGAAGTTATTCCATTCTCAAGTAGTAACAGAGGCACAACATCTTCAATAAACCAATTACTCTTTCTTTTTATAAGCACTTCAAATGTATTTCCTTTATAAAATCGAGATTCATCTACACAGGTTTTATTTTCAAAATCCAAAATATATAACTATGTTAAATTTAATTCTTCCATGGATAAGATTTTCTCCAAATGGAAAACAGATGGTAAATAGAAAAAAAGCTGAGCCATGTAGATGGACAATGAGTTCATTTTACTCACATTGCCTTACCAGTGTAAAATAATGTTTCTTTTTCTTTTAGTTTCCTATCTTGTTTTTTCCTCCCCAAATCCAGGTGTCAAATTTCTTCACAAGATACATAAATTGCAAATTCCAATTAAGTTTACAAAAGGAAAATATTTTTTAATCCACAAAATAAATATTTTGATCTTAGTCAAATAAACTTTTAACAATGCTATAGAAGTTACACATTCTAATAGAAATGATATACTGCCATCTATAGTGCAAATCACAGACATACAATACTAAGTAACTCGGGTTTACTGAAGAGGGACTCAACCTAGTACAATATTCTGAAATAAAACAAAAAGAAAATAAAGTTTATTCAATGAAATGTTTAAGTAATTTTACTGGGTCTGAGTGAATGTATAATCATGTTAGGTAAAATTTAGTTAGAAAGCTGAGAAAATAATATCTTCAACATTTTAAATGTACCAGAAGAATTGTGTATGTCTTGCCACCAGGACGATCCTTAAGGTTTTCATCAATAAGGATGATTTCATTTACAGTTACATTTGATCAATGTGGTAACAAAACTCTACACAGATTGATGAAGTATCATTTATTAAGTTAAACAACACATTGAAGGAAAACAAACAAAAAAGTGACCATTAAAGAATCAGATTAAAGAATGTGACAAAAAGCAAATGAAGAAAATATTATTAGCACAGTTTACCACAATTAAATTTGTCAAAAAGGCTAGCCATTTTTGCCTACTATTTAGGATTATCTTGTAAAATTGAAGAAGCAGAATAATCAATACCAGGGGCTGGCAAACTTTTATTTATAAAGAGACAGATAATAAAACCTCAGGCTTTGCAGCCATACAATCTCTGTCTCAACTACTCAGTTCTGCCCCTGTAGCAAAGAAACAGCCATAGATGATAGTTAAATAAGTGTGGCTGTGTTCTAATAAAACTTTATTTATGAATACCAAAATTTGAATTTCATGTAATTTTCATGTTGCGAATTAGTATTCTTTAGATGTTTTTTCCTGCCATTCAAAAATGTAAAAACCATTCCTAGTTCTTTGGTCTGTATTAAAACTGGCAGCAAGGCCAGTTTGCCAACCTCCAAACACAGAAGTTCATTCTTTTAAATGCCAATCCTTTGCTTACATTTCTGCCCCAAATCAAAGCAGCCAACATGGCCAAAGAGTACCATTAATTTTGTATTACATGTTAAAGGTGCTGTCTGGAGCAATGTTATGCAAATGGTGCCTCCTGGAGTTATACTGTAAGAGGCCCTGATATTGGATGGGTAATAGTCTATACATGGTAACTTGCATTCCAGACTTTATGAAAATGTTCTGAATATGTATTTATATGTGTGTATATTACATATGTATTTCAATTTTTCAAAATATCTTTATGTGTATGTGTTTGTATTTATCAACAGAATTATTAAAGCAGTGAAACTGTAGGATTTTTCTCTTTGTTATCAGAGTATCTTCTAGTTAACTAGTGATAAAAATATTTTTAATTGGAGCATTTTCATAGTCAAACTTTATAGAAACTTTATACCATCATTTATCAAATTTTGGGTTGCTTTTCAAAATACCATTTATATTCATGTTTCAAGTGAAGCTATGGACCAAGAATTAGCAGGCAAAATGCTGTTTCTAAAGAATTTTCCAGCTTCGTGTTAATAGTAGACCAAATGTTAGCCTTCACTAGTTTTGTTACAAAAACATAAAATAAACTGTTAAAGCAAAGTTGGAAAATGCAGAGCTTCATGCAAACAGGGAGGGTGGACATAACTGAAATAAACTAAGCAAAAAGCTAAAAGCAAAAGAAATAAAGAAAAGAAAGAACCTTATGCATTTCTCCATGAAGATCTCCTACCTCTTCTCTAGTGTCTATGGCAGAGCCAGGGGTGGTGGCAGCAGTGCTTACTGTGGTACTAGGGGCAGTGCCTGATGAAGTCACTGAATCTATCTCTCCTGCTACATCGTTGATCTCCCGAGCAATGAGAGCAAGATCTTGGCTGATCCTGGTAATAATTTTAGAAAAGAAGTTTAATCCCTTTTAAATAAACAGCTCTAAAAACAATCATTTATGAGATAATCAGTCATGTAAGTTGTATATCTAATTAAATATTTGTACCCCAAATTAACTATTAACTATTTTGATAATCAGTCTTAAACCTTAATTCCAAAATTAAGATTAATGAAACTAAACTCCAAATAACCTACAAGATATCACCTTGAAAAATGTACTTTAAAAGCCCTTGAGTAGAGCTATGCCCTTAACACACACTGTGTTAATGACTAGCATTAATACATCACAGGGGTCTTAAACTTGGGGAATAATGGATAGAATTCAAGCAGTTCATGAACTTAAATGAGAAAAAACAATTACAATGTATTCACTAACCTCTAAGTGACGCTTAGCATTTCTTTCAATTATAAATACAGGCAACAAATCACAGTGGTATTAGCAATACTGGTGATTTTTGTCATCAATAGAGATCACATTACAGTTGCTACGGGTATATTTAAACATCATTTATGGTCATCACTGCTTCAAAACTACTGAAGTCATTAAACACACAATAATAACATTTTATTTAATGTTAATAAAGAACCATAAATTACTCTTACTTTCAAATATTTTGATAACTGAATTTCAATATAATTGGATTTCTTTGTAATTCTTTTATGTTTACACCTGAGAAGGGCCCTACAAGCTTCACAAAATGGGCAAAGGGGTCTACAGTACCAAGAAATTAAGAACCCTGCACTCTTTCGTAGAGCACTTTACACTATGCACAGCACTTTCTAGTACATGTTATGTCACTTGAGGCCCACAAAGTTCTTTTGAGGTAGGATTCATCTGACTTTATCACAATCTCAGAGAACCTGAATGGCTTGCTCATGATCACACCTTTAGATGTAGCTAAGGCAGGACTGGATCCAAGCTTTAGTACTCATTTCCATAAAGCCATTTGCATTTTTACCTACATGGACTGAAGAACTAAATAACTGTTACCTGTGATAATCAAAGGTGAAAATAGAGATTTTTCTTTTAGAGTTTTTTTTAAGAGGGACAAACTTACAAAACCTACCACTGATATTCTTGTTTTTTGAGAAACATTTCATTTCAATAAGACATTAACGTTTTCCAAGCTGCATCTACTGCCCATAAACTCGATGTGGCTATTTCCACAGGGAAGGTTTTGGAATGACAGAATATTATTAAAAGTATATATGAAAGTTTCTGCAACTTCAAAATCCAAAGGAAATACAAAGTAACTTAAAAAGAAAAAAAAAAAAAAGAGCCTAGGAGGTCTGGTTATATTGCCCAGGCTGGTCTCGAACTCCTGAGTTCAAGCAATCCTCCGACTCAGCCTCCCAAATAGCTAAGATTACAGACACATGCCTGGCTTAAAGTAACATTTTTTAAACTTATGCAAAATGTGAGTTTGAAAGACTTTCAAGCACATTAGTAATTACATAAAAATTTAGATTTAAAAAGGGAACTAAGTTGAAGTTTATGGACCAACAGAACCAATTTATGGTCAATATATAAACTTTGTAAAAACGTCAGTTAATTCCTCATTTATTTATCAACACAAAGAGGCAGGAAAAACACCAACAAATATTTACTGATTGCTTATGATGTGCCAGGCACTGTGCTAAGTCCTAAAGACTACAGCAATGAAGAAGCAGACAGGGTCCTTGTCCCCATGAAGCTTAGAATACACAGAAGGCACCATTATAATATGATGAGTACATTATAAAGCAGCTTCATAGTCCTCAACTCATTTAATTCCCACAACCACTCTGTAAGAGAAGTATTAATCATCTTGTTCTACAGATGAGGAAAATGAGGCACAGGAGAAGACATGCGACCATTTTTTTGGCCAAGGTCACACATAGTTAAGTGCCATAACTAGATCTTTTCACTATGTCATGCTACATCTCACATGATTGCTCCATATATAATTTTTTAAAACATATTAACTGTTGATGTGATTCTTTTGAAATGTGTTTAAAGTGTTCCCTTATATAATATAGCAAATCCTTGCAATTCCCCAAAATAAATGAACTAGAATAAGAAACAGAATAACCAAGCTTAATGAGATAAAATACAGATAAGCATCATTGTATCCAAAACTCTATTTTTCATTAAGGATTTTTTATGCAGACGATCTGTACAATGAAGTTTCTAATATTTGTGGAAAACAGTATAAATTAATTAGAAAAAACATGGACAACAGCAATCTCCACATGTGATATAGTAAAATATGTATTAAAATGAGCAATTCTTAACGTATATACAACATATATTGTTGATTTGAAAACCTAATAGATATTTTCACATTTAATTCCATTTTATTACAAAATATGGATAAGAAAATAGTGCTGAAGGAACAAAACAGAAGGGTTCAGTTCTCTAGCATTAGTCCTAGTCTTTATGTTTTCCCAAGTGTCAGAACCACTGACTCAATTTCAACAATTCTGTAGAAATAAGTATGCATTACTTAAGAAAAAATGGTGAGATAACATGAGAAATGTACTTTAAGTCATAAAGTTTATAATTTTCCTATGTAAATTATCTCAGTCATAACACTTTTTTTTCACTGAAGGGTTGTATACTGGAAAAAATAATTGTACATTTGGGTATATTGGAAGATTAAAGGATATATTAAAAATTAGAGTTCTAGTTATGTGTATACCCAATTAAACACACAATCTTTGCAAGATTATATATTATTACAACTATAGTAGAAACAAACTATCAGACTTCATTGATTTAAACTGCCAACAAAACATTGTTTTAAATTAGCTATTTAAAAATTTGCCTTATTATTATTTTTTGAGGTGGACTCTCACTCTGTTGCCAGGTTGGAGTGCAGTGGTGCAATCTCAGCTCACTGCAACCTCTGCCTCCTGGATTCAAGTGATTCTCCTGCCTCAGACTACCGAGTAGCCAGGATTACAGGCGTGCACCACCACGCCCGGCTAATTTTGGTATTTTTAGTAGCAATGAGGTTTCACCATGTTGGCCAGGATGGTCTCGATCTCTTGACCTTGTGATCCGCCCGCCTTGGTCTCCCAAAGAGCTGGGATTACAGGCGTGAGCCACTACGCCCAGCCAAAAATTTGCCCTATTTTTTGATAGCACATTCATTTTCAAACGTTTTTACATGTAAAACTTTCCAGAGGATACACACATGAACCTCTGGAATTAAGTTTCCTTTGATATTACTGGAAAAAAGCAACTGGTGGGCTATTAATGAAGTATACTAGCTTTAGAATCCTAAAACCAAAGCTTATGACCGCAAGTCAAACCTCCTGTTACTTTAACATGGGCTAAGAGATCATAACTGTAATGACTCAGCTTTCAAGAAATAATTTAGTCTAGTTTGTAAATGACCAGAAGTGTTAAAATGTAAAATGAGTTTAAGGAGAGACATTTAAGGGTCATTCCAGAAAAGCTCATGGTTTCCACACTATCTAGAAGAGTTTAGTAAGCAAAAAAAGTTTTGTAAGAGGAAAGAGGGGATATCAAATGAAAGGTACTCAGGAAAACTGGAAAAAGAAAATATAAGGAAAAAAAAGTCTAACGTCAATTATTCTAAGTGAAGTAATTCAGGAATGGAAAATCAAACACCACATGTTCTCACTTGTAAGTGGGAGCTAAGCTGTGAGGATGTAAAGGTGTAAGAATGATATGAATTAGCTTTTAATCCTTGTATAAATTATGAACTCGTTTGGAACACAGGCTCTGTGTTTTAGGTTTATTTGCCTCCCCAATGGTGACAAATATGGTCAGCGATTCATAAAAAAGTATGATTTATAATAGGATGCACCAGGGAGACTTTTAATCTGAACAGAGGTCACGGGAATGAGATTCGCGAAGAACGCAGAAGAGATTAGCGACCCCTCTCCTTCCCAATTCCTTCTAATGGTATAAAAGCCAGTCAGCCAAATAATGAAGAGCCATATTATTTTTAAAGAGTCAAGGATCCTGTATCAGGCCCCAAAATTTCAAAGGCAGGTATAAAGTAAAAATTCATAAGCATGTGGCTAAAAAATGTTTTTTATTTCCATGGGTAAAAACAAATTTTGTTTCATTAAGTATTTGGTTTAGCTTGTATTTTTCCTTCTAAGTGATTACTCACTCATGCTCTCCCCTGCACCTCAAATAGAACAAGTATAGTGGTTCAAGGTTTACAAGGCATGGGAAGAAAAAAAAAAAAAAACCCGAGATATTAGCAAATTAACTTCACTTCATTTAAAATTCTCATTGCTTATACAATGCAGGAAAAAGTACACTTGTAAGAGACCCTATACTAGCACACAGAGGCGGTAAGAAGTCAAGTTAAAAAGTACACGAATGCAGGCACCAACGGGACTTATATAACAGCACATGTAAGGTTTTTACTTTGTGCATGAGCAAAAAGTTCTAGATGTTCCCTAACCAGTGAAGACCAATTGTGAATCCCCCCTAACCAGTAAAGACCAATTGTGAATCCCCCCTAACCAGTAAAGACCAATTGTGAATCCCCCATCTAGAGGCACTCCAGATGGAATGCTCAGTATCATTGGCTACGAAGCATGAATGCTTAGCAAAGTCAAATACATACTTGGAAATGCTATCTCCAAATAAAAGACAGTATTCTTATTACTACACTGCCTACAAATAAAAATACAGTATTTTTATTAGTATATAAAAAAGTACCCAGATGTGGCTTTAATGTGATAAGGCTATAATTTTAAAAAATGTACATGCCTTGTAAATACTTGTAACTACATTTTCCCCTGAAGCCTTTTCCTGGTTTTGGCCCATTATTCAAGATTATTTTTCTCAGCTGTTAAAAGCAATGAACATAACCACATTTATGCTATTCTGCCACTTAACTGGATATCTTCTTTCTTTTTTATTAGACAGCACATAATTTTAATACAGCCTTTGGCTTGTTGTGAAGCCACATCTCATCTTCAGTTCTTCTTGACATGCCTTTCATACAGATGTGTTACCACTGTAAACAGCTCAAGCAGATCTTAAGAAATTCACTTAAGGTTTCCTAGAAATGTGATTCACATGAGTTCTGTATCTTAAACCATGACTTTCAAAATGAGGTAAAATATTGTATAATGAAATCAACATATGCAGGTGTGAATATAAACAAGCAATACTGACTTCCATATATGGATCCTTGAAATGTTTCATTACTGGATGACTGTATCTTATACAGTGAATAATGCTATTATGATAAAACAGAAATACAATTTCTCACATCCTAATTTTTTTCCCAAAAAAATTAACTGTAGCTAGGTAAAAATGGGGCTAAGACAAGGAACTTCTACGTAAAAATTTTTAGAGTTTGACTTAAAAATTTTCAATTTGGAATCTTAAGCATTTAAACTATTCAGGGCCTACTGATAACGAGCTAGGTATCTTTTAAAAAACAAAAGAGGCTGGGCACAGTGGCTCACGCCTGTAATCTCAGCACTTTGGGAGGCTGAGGCAGGTGGATCACTTGAGGTCAGGAGTTCAAGAATAGTCTGGCCAACATGGTGAAACCCTGTCTCTACTTTTACAAAAAATTAGCCAGGCATGGTGGCATGCGCCTGTAGTCCCAGCTACTCGGGAGGCTGAGGCAGGAGAATCCTTTGAACTTGGGAGGTGGAGGTTGCAGTGAGCCGAGATCATGCCACTATACTCCAGCCTGGGCAACAGAATGTGAGACTCTGTCTCAAAAAAAATCCAACAAAACAACAACAACAAAAAACAAAGGAGACATAGACAAATTTGGGAAGACTCTAGGCATCATTTATTCAACAAAATTTATTTGGTATCAGTATCAGCTGGGCGCGGTGGCTCATGCCTGTAATCCTAGCACTTTGGGAGGCCGAG
Organism: Homo sapiens; assembly: GCF_000001405.40. Taxonomy (NCBI): domain Eukaryota; kingdom Metazoa; phylum Chordata; class Mammalia; order Primates; family Hominidae; genus Homo; species Homo sapiens. The sequence goes on from NT_187519.1 coordinate 160,448, forward strand.
GTGGGCGGATCACCTGAGCTCAGGAGTTTGAGACCAGCCTGGCCAACATGGTGAAACCCCATCTCTACTAAAAATACAAAAAAAATTAGCAAGGCATGGTGGTGTACACCCGTAATCCCAGCTACTCAGGACGCTGAGGCACAAGAATTGCTTGAACCTGGGAGGCAGAGGTTGCAGTGAGCTGAGATCGCGCCACTACACTTCAGCCTGGGTGACAGTGAGACTCTGTCTCAAAATAAAATAACATAATTTTAAAAATTTATTTAGTATTTACAAAGCAATAGTTATGAATGATTCCATGATCTCACAGTACAATAAAGAATAAGAAGTCCAGGCAAGAGGCTCAAAGTTTAATTCATGTATTGATTAACTCATATATTTGACTTACATACCAACTATAAAGAAGGTTCACAAAAAAAAGTTTCCTAATGATAAGGAAAGATCTTTCTCTTCCATCAGTGGAAACTGTCAGTTAATTTGTTAGATGTTAGTGGCATTTTGATTCAATAATAGAAGACCTTAATGAAAAAAATTTGGCAAACCCCATTCTTTATGCAACAAAAGTATGGAGAACTGGGAAAGAGTTACACTGAGCCACAAAAGATTTAGGATGGGATAATAATGAGTTGAAATTGGAGGTTTCTTTTGGGCAGCAAGAGCAATTTAATGAGTGGCCTGATTAGAAAAGCAGTTTGAATAAAGTACATGGAGTCTACTTCTAGCCATCAAAAGAGATAGAGATTTAATTTTTTTAAAGGCACCTCCCATTATTGTGAATGAAATGTTTATCGCTACAGATAAGTTACATTTGGTAAAATGTAGAAAGATTCTAGTCTCGAAACTAGACTGATGAATATGCTTCAGATAAGCAGAGGCAGTCACAAATAAAGATGTAATTAAGAGGATAACTTTAAAGGTTTTAGCAAACCTATGCTATCTCCACCAGAGACAAAATCGGCAGGTTAAAAGAAGATGGTCTGACGCCATCTGACAGCAAAGTATTTACTCAATAAACAAGACCTGAGATAGCCAGAGTATTTTTAGAGACTTAGGTACAGACTATGAGGAAGGAATAATGAAGTTCTAGGAAATGTGGAAAACTACAGAGAAACTGAAGAATCACTGTCATCTGAACCTGTGGGCAGGTGGTTTATTTCCCTACTCTTGCTGTTTGGATCTGACCTAGCCCAACAAAATAACAGGGCCTAGACTTGAGATATTATCAATCCACAAATGATGTCTTCAAACTGACTTGGCAGATATGCCTTATTGCTTGATTAGGGTAGTTTTTATATCCATAATATTTTCTCCAAAACAAAAAACATTTTGGTATTATCAAAGCTCACCTCCAATTACAACCCAAAATGTAGTATATCCTTCAATTATATTATAATTGAAGACTTGTTAGCTGAATTGCAATACACAGAAAAGCATTATATTACCTTACAGACAATAAGAAAACCCACACCATTGAATTCTGACAACTAAATTAAATTGGTTCCTACCAACAAAACAATAAAAGCACAAAGCTTTTAATAATGTAGTAAAATTACAAGTAATTTGGTTTTTTACTGTTAAGATTATCACTCATTCATAACTTTAACTGTACATATTTTAGGCTTTGAAAAACATAAACCACAGTTCTATTTTAAAATGTTTTCAAATATATTTGATCAGTATTCTTTTTACTTGAATTTCACTAATAAAATTATGTGTAAAAGACTTAGTAATAATAAAAGCTTTTTGTCTTACAATGCCAAGTGAGTTTCATTTGGGGCCAACAAATCAGGGAACGAGACTGATAGGTGTTCCGTGATACATCTATTTTTTAGACAGAATCTCGCTCTGTCACCCTGGCTGGAGTGCAGTGGCGTGATCTCGGCTCACTGCAACCTCCGCTTCCCAAGTTTCAACGATTCTCCTGCCTCAGCCACCCGAGTAGCTGGGATTACAGGTGCATGCCATCACACCCGGCTAATTTTTGTATTTTTAGTAGAGATGGGGTTTCACCATGTTGCCCAGGCTGGTCTCCAACTCCTGACCTCAGGTGATCCGCCTGCCTTGGCCTCCCAAGTGCTGGGATTACAGGCGTGAGCCACCCCGCCCAGCTGACACAGCTATTTAACGATCACTTTAATATTAAAAAACAAACTACTTATATACCACTGTTTTTACTAGGAGGACAAAAAATTTTTTAATAAATAAGTTTGGACGGAAATTTGAACAAAGCATTGGCTGGGATTCTTAAGCACAAATAAGGTAAGCCCAGCATTTTATAAACTGTAGAATGTAATGCTGATTCTGAAATTCCAATTATATCTGGATTCTCATAAATTTAAACGTGTGAGATCTACACAAAATTAAAAGCTCCAAATAAAGTTCTAACTATAATCATAAACCACGGTTTTCTCTGTATCCCTCTTAAATATAACATTTATTGACTACTGACTATATGTCAAGCACTAGGTTAAGTATGTGCATCAACTTGTCGACTCTCTCAGGTTGGCACCATTACGTCCATTTTACCGATGAGATCACTAGAACACATTTAATTAACTCATCCTAGGTCACACAGACCTTGTGGTCGAGTTGGGTTTGAATCTCAGACCAAGAATATGGTCTGAGTCCAGAGTCCATATTCTTCACCATTCAGCTACACCACATCCCTGTCACTGAGGTTATCTCAGAGTTCAGCCGCATTTGCAGCTCCCTCACCATTCCGTGGTGATACCATCTACTACAATAGCTCCAAGTATTTACTCTTTACGAATGACTACAACGATGAGTCTAGCCCTCACGGCTTCCTGTTTCACAGCCGCAGTTCAACTGTCTGCTAGCTTTTTTCACAGGGCTATCCTTTAGGCATGTTGGTGTCAGTATGACCAAAATACAACCTATCTTCTTTTCCCATGCCTTTTGTGTTCCCTACTCCCACTAATCTCCCATCTGATCAACCATGGAACCATTTTAAATTCTGTCTTACTATTCTGGCAATCATCAAAAGCTAGGCCTCTTGTGCCATACAGCCAAGTTGTGAATGCAAAGGAAAAGTTCTTGAAGTAAATTAAAAGTGCTACTCTAGTGAACACAGGAATGATAAGAAAGCAAAACAGCCTAATGCTGATATGGACAAGGTCTGAGTGGTCTGGATAGAAGATCAAACCAGCCACAACATTCCCTTAAGCCAAACTAATCCAGAGCAAAATCTGAACTCTCTTCAATTCTGTGAATGCTGACAGAGGTGAGGAAACTGCAGAAGAAAAGTTTGCAGAGGTTGGTTCATGAGGCTTAAGGAACGAAACCATCCCCCTAACATGAAAGTGCACAGAGAAGCAGCAAGTGCTGATATAGAAGCTGTAGCAACTTATCCAGAAGATCTAGCTAAGATAATTGATTAAGATGGTTATAATAACAACTGATTTTCAATGTTGATAAAACAGCCTTCTATTGGAAGAAGATGCCATCTAGGACTTTCAGAGCCAGAGAGAAGGCAATGCCCAGCTTCAAAGCTTCAAAGGACAGGCTGACTCTCTTGTTAGGGGTTAATGTAGCTGGTGACTTTATGTTGGAAGCCAATGCTCATTTTCCATTCCAAAAGTCATAGGGCCCTTAAGAATTATGCTAAATCTACTCTGCTTGTGCTCTACAAATGGAACAATAAAGCCTGGATTATGGCATATTTACAGTGTGGTTTACTAAATATTTTAAGACCACTGTAGAGACATACTGCTCAGAAAAAAATGATTATTTGCAAAATATTACTGCTCATGGACAATGTACCTGGTTACCTAAGAGCTCTGATGGAGATGTACACGGTGATTAATGTTGCTTTCATACCTGCTAACATCCATTCTGCAGCCCATGGATCAAGGAGCCATTTTGATTTTTTTTTTTTTTTTTGAGACGGAGTCTCGCTCTGTCGCCCAGGCTGGAGTGCAGTGGCGCCATCTCGGGTCACTGCAAGCTCCGCCTCCTGGGTTCACGCCATTCTCTTGCCTCAGCCTCCAGGGTAGCTGAGACTACAGGCGCCCGCCACCACGCCCGGCTAATTTTTTGTATTTTTAGTAGAGATGGGGTTTCACCATGTTAGCCAAGATCGTCTCAATCTCCTGACCTCGTGATCCACCCGCCTCAACCTCCCAAAGTGCTGGGATTCCAGGCGTGAGCCACCGCGCCCAGCCATTTTTTTTTTTTTTTTTTTTTTTTTTTTGAGATAGAGTCTCGCTCTGTCACCCAGGCTGGAGTGCAGCGGCACAATCTCGGCTCACTGCAACCTCTGCCTCCCGGATTCAAACAATTCTCCTGCCTCAGCCTCCCGAGTAGCTGGGACTACAGGCACGTACCACCATGCCCAGCTAATTTTTTCTATTTCTAGTAGAGACGGGGTTTCACCGTGTTAGCCAGGATGGTCTCTATCTCCTGACCTCGTGATCTGCCTGCCTCGGCCTCCCAAAGTGCTGGGATTACAGGCGTGAACCACCGTGCCTGGCCCGTTTTGTCTTCTAAGCAGAAAATGTATTCCTTTATTTAAGAAATAACATTTTGCAAGACATAGCTGTCATAGGTAATGATTCCTCTAATAGATCTGGACAAAGTAAACTGAAAATCTTTTGGAAAGGATTCACCATTCTACATGCCATTAAGGACTTCTGTGATTCATGGAGGAGGTAAAAATATCAAGATTAACCGGAGTTTGGAAGAAACTGATTCCAACCCTCATGGATGACTTTGAGGGTTCAAGACTTCAGTGGAGGAAGTCACTGCAGATATGGTGGAAACAGAAACAGAACTAGAAAGACTAGAGTTAGAAGTGAAGCCTGAATATGGGACTGGATTGCTGCAATCTCGTGATAAAACATTAACAGATGAGAAGTTGCTTCTTATGGATGGGAAAAGAAAGTGGTATCTTGCAATAGAATCTACTGGTGAAGCTGTTGTGAGCACTGTTGAGATGACAACAAAGGATTCAGAATATTACATAAACTCAGTCGATAAGCCAGCGGCAGGGTCTGGGAGGACTGACTGCAGTTTTGAAAGAAGTTCTACTCTGGGTAAAATGCTATCAAACAGCATCACATTGCTACAAGGAAATCTTTCATGAAAGGAAGAGTCAATCAACGTGGCAGACTTCACTGTTGTCTTCTTTTAATTAAGAAATCGCCACAGTCATCCCAGCCTTCAGCAACCACTGCCCTTGAATAAGTCCACAGTCATCAGCAGGGATGTAAGACCCTATGCCAACAAAAAGCTGATGACTTACTGAAGGCTCAGATGATCACTACTGTTTTTTACTAATAAAATATTTACTTGTTTAGGTATATACTTTTTTTAAGAAGCAGTGTTACTGCACACAGTATAGTGTGAACATAATTTTTACATGCACTAGGAAAAAAAAACTGTGTGACTTGCTTTGAGATATTTGCCTTACTATAGCGGTCTGAAACCAAACCTGTACTATCTTCGAGGTGTTACTGTAGATAATCTTCCAGTATAATTTTTAGGTTGAATGTATTTCATTTGGTTATCTGTAAAGCTGGTATTGTAGCTCTGTTTACCCTAATATTCATAAAAACCTGCATCATGTCTTACATTCCTACTCGATGGAAGTCAATATCTGTTTTCATAACAGAGAAACTGAGGCAGGAGCTACCAAAGCATATGCATCAGGGATACCTGAAAGAAACCTTCCCTCATCAAACTGAAGACCAAATATGCCATATCTCGCTTATACACTTCATATTCTAAATGGAGCTTGCTTTTGTGCTTTAAATTTAAATGCAGGTAAACAGTTACTATGTACAGATTAACAAAGTGCTGATCAAGTGAAATAGTCCTAAATTCTAAACAGAAAGAGTATGCTAAAGCATAAAACATTTTTGTAATAAATTAAAAATCACTATTATCTTTTTCAAATAAAAGTGTCTTTATCTATTACTCTTCAAATATTGCTCTCAGCACAGGAGTCTTTTAGGTGACAGTAGTTCATTTAAATAAATAAAATTATTTCTCATATTCTACTTAGTTTGTGATTCATAGCCATTTGAAAATACATTTTCTCACCCTAAGCAAACTTATCACTGCTCTATAGAAACATTAAATATCCACATTTCCTTCCATATTTTGTATCTTTCCTTCCTTCCACCACCCTCCTTTTTTCTCCACATAAAACAAACAAAAAAACCACTTCTCTGGCTTTGAGATATATAGCTAGAAAGTATAACTTGAAAAATTAAAATCCCAAAGGCAAGTTTTATTAGCATAGTGCTACTGACAAACTAGAGGGATAAGGCATGAACATCACTGTAGGTTAAATAGCCTGTTCTTAAAGTCCTGCCATAGATAATAAAAAGTACACATTGATAATAGTAACACTATGCACATAGCAAAATGGAACCAAGTGAAAATACAGTGTATAGCCCTTATTCCCTCTTCTCTTTGTATTACAACTGTTTTTTTATTTGGGGGTAGGGAAGTGTATTTGGCTCAGAAGAAGGTTTTTAGTCTTTCTAGTTTGGGGTAGAGGGAGCTTGAGAGAGGAGGCCTCCTGCCAGGAGGCATCTAGACATACAGGCACCACTGGATCTTGTGTAGCTGGACATCTTTTTCAAGGGAAGGGGAAAAATGATGAGACAAGAGTAAGACCTGTTGTTGCTAGCAGCGCCTGGAAGTACAAAAAAATGTGTCAAGATGCTCTCACTACAAGCATTTTGTTGGCCCATAATGATCCATGGATCCCAAAGTACATATATGCCTTTCCTCTAACTAGAACAACTGGCTTAAAATGCTTCATTAATTACTCTCCTAAAAAGCTATTTGTATGATAAAGCAAAAATGTTTTAAGCAGCACGATGAGATTAGAAAGGCATGTTCTCTCCAAGAATAAAAGCGATGACAAGTGAATAGTCTTTAAAAATAAAAAACTAAACATTACATCAAACCAATGAGCCAGAAAAAACACAATTCACAGAAGTCAATGAAATAAAGAACAAAAAAGATGAACATTAACATAGAGTAAAAGTTTCTTGTTTTTTAAAAGCATCTATGAAATATTATGTATAAACTCTTTAATAATGTCCTCAAGTATACAACTTGAAGATTAAGGTCTTAAAGACAGAAGTAAGCTTAGTATGTATACAGTGAAAATGTTTAGGTAACATATGGTATACTGCAGTAAAATCTAACATCTCACAAACTTTAAACAAAAAATCCTTATATTTTAACTACTATAGTATCTGCTTGAGTATAATCTCTCTTCAAAGTTCAGCCATAGTAAGTTATTAATTTCCATAAGTTATTAATTAAAAATCATATCTGCAGCATAAATTTTTTTTGTACATAATCTAAAGGTTACTATAAACAGATTTAATCTTCAAAATAGTCATATTTTGTTTTACTTACTAAACGGTTGAACTGCCCATACTTAATGAGCTCATAAAGTATGAGTGAAAATCTGCTTACCCTAATTCTCTCCAGAGAGCAGTAGCCACATCTCTAAAAGGTATACTATTACATCTTTGGAAGTTTAAAGGAAAGTAATCCATAAATTGCCTGCAGTTCTTAATTATGTAGATCTGATACTGCCTACCTTTCAAAGTTTCACTTACTTATCACCATCTTTAAAAGAAATTCTTAAAAAGGGAGGGGGGGAGACAGAAAAGGTCAAAATAAATTAATTCTACAATATGTTAGTGGTATAGGCATAGAAAAAAAAGAAAAAAAGCTGGATAGAGAGTAATACTACTGACTAAACGGAGTTCACAGTTATCTGTGGATTTCAGTTCTTAGACTATTAGTAAAAATCAAGTACAAGCTAAACTTTGTTACCAAGTTGTAATGTTCATAGAAATTTTGAATTCTTAAAGATAAGTCCTGAAAACCAACCTGGCTATCTCTTCTCGATGAGCAGTCCAATCTCGGATGTAGTCTTCCTGCTCTTTAATCCGGTGTTTGAATGAAGAACTAGTAGGCATTGCTGATCCAGCGCTCTGCAAGCGAGTGGTTTTCAGGGCTGGAGAAGTACGTAGACGGGTATGTTTAGGGGAATTACGGTTTGATCCAAATTCATCTTCTGAGGTGGAAGCATAATCAGTAGGAAAGCGCCTCCATCTTGAATTTACTAAATTAGTTTAATTATTAAAAAAAGAATTATTATGTTATCATTTAAAGGAGGTAAAATAAAAGTCATGACTTCAAAACACCATGAGAGCGCACACACGGCACAATTTTCAATAACTGACGTACACATACCTCACAAAAACCATAAGTCTACTACTCCTTAGAGATAGAAACATTACACTTCGGTGAATTAAAAACAATGAAGAATCAAAAACAATTGGAAGACCATGTTTTCCATAGTGTGGTGAGTAAACATTCAGATGAAAAATTTCGCTAATGATAAACAACTAAGCAAGCTCTATCCATCGATGTTTAACTGGAGTACTTTTCAATTGCAAATATTTCTTACTTGAGTGAAAATATGAATTTTTCAAAAAAAAAAAGACAGTAACAACATCAACGACAACAAAAATAAAAACAAGGGAAAAGATTTCCTCATGCCACATGGACTTTCAACATGGAGATGGTAAAAACTCTCTTTTCCCAACATACAGATGTGCATAATTCCGGCTGTGGAAATTATGCCTTTATGGCAGAAAAAAAAACATTACCTCTGTCATTCAACATCCTGTTACGCTATGGTTGGAAAAAATCTTTTTACGTGGTAAAAAAACACAACAAAGCATCTTCAGTACAACTCTCTGCTGCTTTGACACTGAAAGCATATGGTGAAAATAGACAATGGCATAAAATCTACAAAAAGCAAAACTGTACAAGCTTTTGTCACAACCATTGACACTGAAGGCACAGGAGATACTGTGAAGAGTCACATTAAAGAAAGTGGCAATCACTTTCTTATTTACAGTTAGTAAAGACATTAAAAAATGGTATTGCTCACACATTTAAAAAATCAGAAGACAAGGCAGACACTTTACTACTGTTAATATGAGAATCAAACATACAAATAATTTGTGAAGCATAAATAGAGGTAAAAAGAGAGATAATGGCTAATTCCTGGTAAACCTAACAAGGGCAGGAACCATGTCTGTTTAATCCAATAATGTATACCTAGCACTTAGCTGAGTGTTGGCTAGCAAATGTTTAACAAATATTTTTGAAAAAAATGTAAGAATTCCTGGATGTAAACATTTACTTTTCCGAAACCTAGTGAAAAGCATTAAATGTTATTGGTGTTTAAAGTGAAAAAACCTTAGCATCTTCTTCCTTTTTAATAGAAACTGACCCTAAGCTGCACAGAATCCAGAAATTCCTCCACTCTAATTTTATGCCTTTTATGTCTTTTCCTCCAAAAACTACATTTTCAGCTGGGGATCTCTAAGGCTGAGGTTGCTCTCAGATAAAACTGGCATATATTGCCACCAGAACTGGCTTAAGAAACAGAGAACTCTACAACGAGGAATATGCCATAAATTAGAGCCTATCGATTCGTCCTTATTCACACCCCTATTTACAGATCCTGATGTTTGGAACTAGATTCATTCATAGGTATGACAGAATGAACATATGCAGAAAGTTCATGGCTCTCTGTAAAAGTGTATGCAAATGCATATACTAGGTAATTAGTCATAGACCTTTTTTGAGGAGCTTAAATATAATTTCTGATTTTAACACTGTAAGATAATTTATTAACATAGATAATACTTTTACCATGGTGATAATGTGCTCATTTCTAGATAAAAAAACTTCTGTGAGTTGAAGTGATCCTGAGACTTGAAACCAATTTTAGGAAAAGTTTAGAACAAGAGTAAAGAGGTTTAGAAAAAAATTAAGAAATACGGCAGGCAAAATCAGAAATAGTGTAAACAAATTTGTACGTTTCAAAAAAACATTTCATTAAATGCTAAATGTGTGTTTCTTGTGCTATCTTACAATAGTGTTCATAAATAAGAAAAAAATCATTTGTTACATCAAATGTTCTGATTTTTGATGAGGCAACTATGGTCACTATACATATGATTGGAAACTAGAGAGAAAAGAAAAGCAATTAACAAAGAGCTTTAATAACTGCAGAACATATGAAAACGTAAGTATGATAAAACTCAGACAGTTAATTTTGAGGTAACTTAGAAAGAATGGCATCGATGGCTGATACATTTCGTGGCAGACTACATGAAAGCAGAAGGAGAAATTGAGTACCAAGTGCTATTAATATACGTTAAATGTCAGGTGATCACATATAAGTAGAGCCATGCTAGAATCAACTTTTAATAGTCTGAGCTTAGGATCAAAATGCAATTACATTTTGAGGAAAAAAGTACGAGAAAAACTTCCTTTTCACAAACTTTCCATCTCTTTTCATAGGCTGGTCTACCTAGAAGTCAGTAAGAATAGTAAAGCTACTAATAATATCTTTTAAAAGCAATCAGGGGCCGGGCACAGTGGCTAACTAACGCCTGTAATCCCAGCACTTTGGGAGGCTGAGGTGGGAGGATCACAAGGTCAAGAGATCGGGACCCTCCTGGCCAACATGGTGAAACCCCATCTCTACTAAAAATACAAAAATTAGCCAGGCGTGGTAGGGCGCGCCTGTAATCCCAGCTACTCGGGAGGCTAAGAGAGGAGAATTACGTGAACCCTGGAGTCGGAGGGTGCAGTGAGCTGAGATCGCACCACTGCACTGTGGCCTGGTGACAGAGCCAGACTCCATCTCAAAAACAAAAACAAAACAAAAAGAAAAAAATCAAACGAATACAGCATATTTTAAAAAGTAAAAGGTAACATCTTTAGGTATGTTCTTTAAAATTGAGGAGGAAACTGGATAATCAGCATACAGCAGAGAAATAAAAATGTGATTAAAAATCATTAAGTAATTAAGAGCTCCCTTTGCCAGTGGAAAACATATCACACATGGGATGCTATGAAGAAAAGCTCCAGTTAACTCTGGACACAGTCTGCGTAACGACAAAGAGCAGAGCTGAGACTGAGTGAAATGATGGCTACTGGTGGAGAAGGGACTGGGAAAGGGAGTTCAATGCTAGGCCCTCTAACCTGTTATTTCTCAAAGAATTTATTTCAAAACTTTCTTTCTTAACATTTGCTTCCAAACTATAGCAGCTACCTAACCTTTTTTCTTCTAAAGAAAATTCCCTATCACCTGCTAATTAACACCAAATAAACTTCAAGTTAAAATATTTTAAATTTCCCCCCATCTACTTATTTCATAAAATTTTAGAAGAATGGCCTTTGACATGAGTCTAAATTCTTCCATTTAAAGAGAAGAAACAGGCCCAGAGAGGTCTTACCTTGCTGAAATCAAAGTATAAGCCAGGTCTATGGACTCCCAGAGTTCAAAACGAATTCTCTGTTATTCCAAGTGTTGTATACATTCTACATTTTTGTTTCCGGTTTTGTGTGTGTGTGTGTGTGTGTGTGTGTGTGTGTGTGTGTTTTTGAGATGGAGTCTCCCTCTGTCACCCAGGCTGGAGGGCAATGGCGCCATCTTGGCTCACTGCAATCTCCACCTCCCAGGTTCAAGCAATTCTCCTGCCTCAGCCTCCAGAGTAGCTGGAATTACAGGCACCTGCCACCATGTCTGGCTAATTTTTGTAGTTTTAGTAGAGACGGAGTTTCACCATGTTGGCCAGGCTGATCTCGAACTCCTGACATCAGGTAAACCATCTGCCTCAGCCTCCCAAAGTCCTAGGATTATAGTCATGAGACGCTGTGCCCAGCCAAGTTGTTTTAAAAAGACATCCTAAATTTCTCATGTAATGATAGTTTTTCTGATATCTACCTGTGTTGAAGAAAAAATTTATTTCTTTCTCTTGAATTTTATTCAGCTTAAGTAACAATTTATAAAAATAAATTTGATTTTCTTAATATATTATTAGGCTCATTTGATGGGTTGATATTACTAAGGCATTGGAAGGTGTCTGAAATGCCTATCTCTAAGAGACTTATTCGTTAGTAAAGGCCTAGACAGCATATATATTAAAATGAAAGTTCCAAGATGGGCTTGATTAAGCTTGTAGCTAGAGCTACAGCATTCATTACAAAATTTATTTTTTAATTATAAAATAGGCAACATTCCCTCTTGTGTTGTAGTACTAAACTACTATATTCACTACAAAAACATACTATCATTTATGATGTCTAGAGACTTAAAAAGGAAAAAAAGAGTTGTTAGTATCATATTTCTGTGAATGTTCCAATTTCTTTGTTGGCATTAAAACATACAACTATAGATTTTGCAAACACGCTTCAGAAAACACACATTGCATCTTCATACAATATCAGAATATTTTAGTGGAAAATTACCACAAACATGTTTTGAATGTATATTTATGAGCATTCAGCAATAAGATCAGCTGGGGAGAAAAACTGCTGACAATGCTCTGTTTTGTCCTTTGACCTGGAGAAAGAGTTAACTCAAGCCATGCATGTCTAACATTTAATTTCTACTGCCTATAAATTTTGAAGATTAGAATTAAAAAGGGACTGCAAACAGTCTCAAAAAATTCTAAGGATATTAACATAATGTTTTTATTTTCTAAAATGTGCACTTAAAACATAATGAAAACCAAGTGCTTTATTTTGATAATTCAAGGTCTTTAAATTTAAATATATCTTGCCAAAATAAATCTGGATATTTCAGTTACAACTTGATATCAAGAATCACTGAAGGAGACTGGGCGCAGTGGCTCATGCCTGTAATGCCAGCACTCTGGGAGGCTGACACGGGAGGACCGACCAGCCTGCCCAATATGGTGAAGCCTCTCCTCTACTAAAAATACAAAAATTAGGCGGGCATGGTGGCACACGCCTGTAATCCCAGCTACTTGGGAGGCTGAGGCAGGAGAATCACTTGAATCCAGGAGGCAGAGGTTGCAGTAAGCCGAGATTGTGCCATTACACTCCAGCCTGGGCAACAAGAGCAAGAGTCCGTCTCAAAAAAAAAAAAAAGAAGCACTGAAAGAATGTTTTGGGGAAAAAAAAACTAGTTAAACTCCTAGAAGCAAATTGCAAATTACATCAGAGAAACATACAGAACTCTTCTCTTCATATTGCTAAATCTGAGATTTCCAATCTTCTATTTTTATCACATACATTTCTTTAAAAAAAACTTTTTTTTAATGGAGACAGGGTCTCACTTGTCCAAGGCTGGAATGCAGTAGTGTGATCACAGCTCACTGCAGCCTTGAACTCCTGGGCTCAAGTAATCCTCTAACTTTGGCCTCCCCTAAAATACTGGGATTACAGGCATGAAACACTGTGCTGGCCTAAAAATATTTTAGAGACATCATCTAAAATATGGAATTGGAAACATTATGGAATTATTTTTACATATCCAATTGGGACAATATCACAAGTGCTAGGTTCAGATTATTTCCAAGGTCTTTAAAGTTTATACTGTGCACAGCAACACTGATCGGCATGATTTAACATTCTTTTAAATCATGTTTCAAAAGTTAAAATTTTGCTTTTCTTTTTCCATTCAAAATATTATAATTATCTTAAAAAGAAATGTTATAATATCAAAGGCACCAAATTAGCAAAATCAAACAGGTAGGTTTGTTTGTTTGACCACCTTTTCCATACAGCTATTATAGTATGTTCTCACTGAAGGAAAGATCCTGGCCACTGTCCTAGATAAGGTCTAATACTATAAGTGGGTATCTTGAGAGAATCTGAATATACAATCCTAGATTACAATATGGCTTTACACTCATAAGGTGGAATAGAGAATATAAACTGGGTAAAACATCAGAACTGCAAAGATTTTAGTAAACAATACCAAAACCTTTATATTGTATATTGACCTTGCATATACTCCTGATAATAATCCAGTAGATTCTAGCTGTCTTCTGGAAGCTTGCATACAAGTAAACACTGAAACTATTTCTTAGAGCTAGAATAGATACGGTAGAAAAACAGGCTGGGGATTAAAAGTCTTTGATTCTTATTCTGCCCCTGCCACTGCCATGTGCCCAGGGCAGGTTATTTCCTCTCTTGGCCTTGGTTCCCTTAAGAGAATAACCCTTCTAACTTTTAAATTCCATGATTCTAATTATTTAATATACTGCTAGTAAGTATGAAAAGACTAAAATCATATACATCAATGTGTCCTAGGGAATTTCATACACAATTCAAGGTTATTTTTGGACACAGAAAACTGAGTATTTATCAAGTTCTGTATTCAAAGAAGCAGAAAATGAAATCTGTCTTTATATATAGCATCTTACAGTTGTTTCTTAGACTTGCTGAAGTAATCATATTTAGCTTGCATCTCAAGCCTTATCCTAAATATCGAGGAATAAAACCACATCATGTGTTAAGAGGTACTCCAAGCTATCTGGTAACATAGAAATTATGTTAAGACAGGAAAATACATACATATCTTAATGGAGATGAGGTGATAAAACAAGGAGTACAGCAGAAGAAATTTCATCAGGAAATGCAGCACAGATGAAATGTGAATTGAAGTAGAGCCATAACCAAAAACAGAATGAAAATAAACCAAAATGTAGTAGTTAGTTTTAAAATATTTGGCAATAAATTTGTGAACCACCAACCAAAGCTTCAAGTGTGGAAATGAGGACTGGGGTAATAAGGAAAATGTTGTCTATTTTTTTTGGAATCATGATTATATGCTATCTGGCTTCACCCTACGTCCATTTCTACCATAGACAGTGACCATCATTACCAAACCCACTGACCAGCAAAGAGATACAGGTGAATGGAGTGGAGGAAAGCAGCAGTGAAAAGAGGAAGAAAAGTGAAAAAAGTATCATATGCAAAGTACTGTTCCTTTAGGGTCTTGTAGGAGATGGTGTGGTAGATGTAAACCAATCAAAAATAAAAAGATGAAATTTCATATCAACTTCCCCTCCACTCTTAACTCAAGACTTAGGGCTTACTTAGATGTCTGCCTACTGAAAATAATCACACATCTTCATGTCCGTTGTAACAGCTGGCCTCCCACACTGGCCTTTGCAGCCACGTCCACATATGAGGCTCATTATGAAGTAATGAGAACATGCATATAGGACACAAACAAATATCCACCTCATTACTCTTTGGTCACACATGTATCTCAATGGCCTCAGCTCTGAATACAAAGCACATAAGCAAACAAATATAACAGCATCAGTTAAATTCTGGTGGAAAGTAAGTAGTTTTTGTAGTTATTATATTCAATTACACCTAATTACTAGAGTTAAATGATATAACAGCACTTTGTGAGATAATGCTCATAACCAGTTAAATTTCTACAGCCCAGTTTGGCCAATATACGCTGAGTGATTCCCCATGAATCCATCTTCTTCCACTGAAATAAATTAAGGTTAGTTTTCACCTGCTCCAACTATAAACAGATTTAACTTTAAAAAGTATAGGTAAAGTATGTGAGACATTTCAAAATGGGTAGGGAAAAAAAAGAAAACATTGATTATTTCATTTAACTCTGAAAGGAGTAATAAAGCATATACTGCTTTTCTTCAAGTTCTTAAGGGCTTTGAATTATGTGAGGATATTTAAAGGTTAAACACATGCTTTTAGAAGCACAATGTTAATTCCTATACTTTAAACCAGATACTTCCAGATAATTTAATTTTGACACACACATCCAAATATAGCACCAACTGGAAAATTAAAACTCCTAAATCAGCTCAATGAATTCCTAGTTTTGAAATCACTATTTTGCGCCAGGACTCTAATTGGAAGTATGTATAACTTCTGATTTTCCATTTACTATGCTAAATAAAACTGTTTTATAGACCCCCCACCGCCGCTGCCCCGTATATCATAACTTTTGTTTTGAATGAGTATCTTGGGAAGACAACTAGAACCTTACTTTTTTTTTTAAAAAAAAAAAGGAGCCCCCAAATATACAACATGCTAATGCTATTAGAAATCTGGATCCAATTTACCTGAAGCAGAGCCATGAGCTGAGGTCATACTTTTGACCTTGGAGTCTGAGAGTCGAGAGATACTGTTAGCTCTAATTCTAGGAGAAAATTTATCTGATGGTACTAGTCTGGCTCCACTTCTAATGATGGCTTCTGCGGTCCTCGAAGAGGCACTACTTCTAGAAATTGTTGCTTCAGAGTCACTACGAGCTGACAGTGAGCCAAGTCGTGTTCTACGAGGCTGAGCCAATAAATCAATCCGAGAGATGTTACGCCTTCCTGTGGGAGGTTTTGATGTAGAACTTGTTGTGGATACTTCAGAAGCAACAGATGCTTTGTCAGCATCAGCAAGTTCACTGTCTGAAGCTTCACCAAGTCGTGCTCTGCGCAAGAGGGAAGTCCTGGTAGGTCGTGGCCTTGGAAGGGTGGTTGATTTACTAGATGAACCAGATACCACCGGAGAAGTCTTAGATTTCGTTACTTTACTTCCTTCCAGTTTGGAATGTACATGCTCATCAGCTGAGGTAAGTGGAGTCCGTCCATGAGGTTTACAAGAGTAAGTTTCTTGATCAGATGACATAATATCAGAGATGGCAGAATGAGGTACACTAGAGGTTTGGTCATCATCTGTTAAGTCTACTGAGGGCTGTCTTATTCTCCCACTGGACTGAACAAATTTACGACCATCTGCTCTTGAACCCACATCTGTGGAACGACTTTTTGTTTTCTTTTCCATTTTTTCCCTAGCACCTGAAGATGATGATTTTGTAACATCTTTGGAAGGAGAACCTGTGGAACACCTATCTTTATAGAGGCTAGTGAAACTCTTTCGCTTTTGGGTTGACTTTCTTTCAGTTTCTCCAGTAACCAGACTGATTGTACTAGCTGTATCTACATCAGATTCTGGTGAAATAGAATTGTCTCTATTATAACTGGGAGTATCTGGTCCTTCATCAGTTTTATTATCTTCACGTAGTTTAGCTTCTAGAAAAGCCATTACTGCTTCTGTGTCTTTTAGAATAAGGGTTGTGTCCATACTAGAATCAGGATCCAAAGACTCACTTCTTTCTCGTATTCTACTTGCAGATGTTAATGCTAAAGAAGAAGGAGTAGAGGAAGTCTGTTTATTTATATGGGGAATAAGTTCTATGGGTATGTTTGGGCTGGGTTTTTCTATAGTGAAGCTCCCTTGTCGCACTAATGACTTGGAGGATTCCTTCTTGTCTCCTCCCTTTGGAGTCTGACTTTTCAGAATTTCCTCAGCTTTTCTTCTCTTGCTCTCACTTTGTGCCACTCTGTCTCCTTTGCTTGTAGAATGTCCTGAATTTTTTTCTGGAGGTTGTGATTCTTGTTTAAAAGTTTCCTCCCTACATTTATCTGTCTGACCTGAAACATTTTTGGAAGACAATTTAGTAGGTGTCCACTGAGCCTCCTCCCTTTGTTCTTGTTGTTGAAGTTTTGCTAATGTTTGCTTTACCAAAGAAGTTTCCTTATCAGTTTCACTTTTCTCTTTTCCAGGAGCAGAGCTGCCTAAGTGAAGTAGGGTTTTATTATCTCCACCAGTTTTGAGAGTCTCTCCATTTACTGCCCTGTTCATTTTACTCAAGGGTCTGTCAGCATCTTGTTTATCTTTCTGGTATACCTGTGTAGGTGTTTCTTTCTCCTGAAGTTCTGTGTCTTGTTTTTCTCCTATCTCTGACCTCTGTGTTACAACCTTTGCTCTGTGGCTCTCAAGAGACTTTTCTTCATTTGGAAGCTGGGGAAGAGTTCGTCTCCTTCTCTCTCCCTGGCTAGCCAAGGAAGTTGCAGAGCCAGTACTTCTCACTGTCATGCCAGACTCACTGATCTCTGTCTCTATGAAATAAAAACCACAAAGAAGGAATTGATTAAGACAAATAAAATAAAAATAAAAGGAGCATCATACAGTTGTCTGTCAGTATCCATGAAGACTGGTTCCAGGCCCCTTATTCCCCCAGGATACCAAATCCCAAGGATGCTTGAGTACCTTATATAAAGTGGTATAATATTTGTATATAACCTACTCACACCCTCCCATATACTTTAAATCATGTCTAGATTACTTATAATACCTAATACAATGTAAAAGCTATGTAAATAGTTGTTATACTGTATTGCTTAGTGAATAAGTACAAAAAAATAAAGACTACACACGTTCAGTGGGGACGCAATCATTTCTTTTTCCCCTCTCAAATATTTTCAATCCTCAGTTGAATTCACAGATGCAAAACCCACTAATACAAAACCTATGGCTAGAGAGGGCCAGCTATATTACATTACATTTTGAGATGTAAGTTAAAAATGACTTAAGTATACAAAACAAACGAGCCAGCATTGTGACGAAGTAGTTTAAGTACAATTTCAAGCTGCACAAATAAGCAATTCCTAGAGAAGTCAGGAAGGCCAATTGTATGAGATGAAAATTAGAGTCATCTGATCATTTTTCTCCTTTCATATATTTAATTTTCTATTTATGAATTGACAAAAATTATATATATTTGTGGTGTATAACATGATGTTTTGATATATGTATACCATTATGGAATGGCTAAGTCAAGCTAATTAATATATCCATTACCTCACGTACTTATCTTTTTTGTGGTGAGAACATTTAAGATCTACTTTCAGCTATTTCAAATACCCAAGGCATTGTTATTAACTATAGTCATAATGGTATAAAAGGGTCATCTGATCTTAAACCTAAATATATTGCTCTTCTTTCCTCTTAATGTGTTTTATAGAAGGGAAGTTCACTGTGTTCATTCTCACTTTTGTAACTTTCCATCCTTGAGGTTTGCTCAAAAAACCAGAATCTATTGTAGATTTATACAGAGAATGTCAAATAAACATTGTTTATTTTCTATATTTTCAACTACATAGTAGAGAAGAACAACATAACTAGTTTTTAAAAAGTATTATCTACTTGAAAGAATGATAATTTTGGATTTCCTAAGTAAAGTGAAAAATGCAGAACTTTTAACAACATTTTAAAAAAATCTATAGCCGATTAAAAGAATTTTAAAAATTGTAAGTATGTAACAGCAGACTTTTCATAGTTAGGACATAGCAAAATTTTATAAATTGAGGAATTTTTAAATTATAGTCTTCTGGTTATTAATGCCACATATGGAAATACAAAATCCCTTTCTTTTTTTTCAAGTAGAAGCCAATGAGAAAATATATATTTTGATTTTTCCACCTGAGAGAATTTGAGAATATTTAAGGATTTTCCTGACTATTAAAAATGGAATGTATTTCTGAGAAAAGGGAAACATCTTTTCAGGGAAATATAAATTAACATATAAAGCTTCCTAATCTTTTAGGGATAAATGGAGAAAAGATACTAGATATAGCTTCTGTGGGTCTTTTTTTTCCTCTTTACAATCCTAAAAGTTTAGTATTTAAATATCATATCAATACAATGGATGTGATGGAGGAAAATCCATACTGAACTGATAGATTTAACTTTAGTCATTAATCATGTTATATCTTGTTTTGTTTCTTCTTTCATATATCTTATCTCCTTAGTGCTAACTGAAGCATCTAGAATGTAATGGCTACTTTACCCTTTTGTATTTTTCCAGTATTTCTCATACTGCCCCCTCCTCATATACATTCAATATGCTTAACAAAAACGTTTTATTATTTAAGTAGATTTATCAGCTTATGTAAATAAGTTCATTTAAATATGATGACATAGAAATGAGATCATGAAAGCTAAGTGGTCTATTATTTTTTATAACAAGGGTAGAACTTTGCTTTTCACAGATAATACTTAATAATTTTATAACGGATTCTTTGGTAAAGTTATCTAGCCTTCTGTCTGGTTTCTTTGTTTCCTAAACACAGTTTATACGAACCAAATGACTCTGTTCCCTCAAAAGAATTTTTGGTCATACTATCAATAACTTCTAGATTCTAATATAAATAAATGACGTAGCTTTTCTAGTACACTGCTATGTAGCTTCCTCAAATACTTCTAATACTTACAAAATTCTTAAAACAGATTTTTGGGGTGCCACAAGCCTGAGACAAAACAAATTTCCATTTTCAACCGGAATGAAATTAAGAAAACAGATAAAAGCCACATACAAAATCTCATTGAGGGTCTTTTTGCTTTTTAACTGTAAGTGAGTATTTATTTTTCAACTTGGATAAGTTTTTTAATTGTTTATTGTAAGTTGACAATTTATATTTGTATATGTTTATGGTGTATAAAATGTTGACCATAAATACAATGTGAAATAATTAAATCAAGCTACTTAGCATATTCATCACCTCAAAGAGTTAACACTTTTTGTGATGAGAACATCTAAAATGTACAATACTATATTATTAACTATATTCACCATGCTGTGCAGCAGACCTCAGGAAAAAAAAAAGCTTCTTCCACCTGTCTAAGTGAGATTTTGTACCTTTTGACCATCATCTCCTCATCCTCCTTTCAGGGTCTTATTGTTAATTAGAAAACTAATGAACAAAAAGTAATAATGAAATCCTTGAAGGTACACAACTTCATTTTGTTTAAAAAGCCTTTATATTTCTGTTCACAGAAATATAAAAGGTAATAAAAGTCATACTACATAGATTTGTAAGATTATTAACTTCTTTTTCACTAAATGTACCACATGAAGTAGGCACTCAATAAATATCTGTTGTATTTATGAATGAAATCGTTTGGACCTGTCTTCAGCTTATTTTTAAATTTTAACTTATATATATATAATATATATGTGCTTCATCTTTCTATGTAATATATACACACACCTATATATGCTTCATCTAAAAATTATTTCCTTATCTTCAGTTAAGTTTATACTTGAATAATAGCTGCATCATTAGTCAAAATCATATCTTAAGATATCAGCATATCAGAAAGAGTAGGAAGAATTTTCATTTAAAAGTAAAGACAAAATTTAAAAACCATTCTTATTTTCAACAGCAGAAATTTACAACTAAAATGAAAAGTGCCTCGGAATGAAATATTAAATCCAAGCTGGTGTCTGTCCACCTGTCCTTAGGAAGTCTCAACTTACGAAGTCCACAAAATTTCTCAAAAAAGAGTTTTATCACTTTGAATTTGTCCCCTGCTTAAAATCCCTCAAAATATACAATATCTAATAAAAATCAGCCTTTTACTTATAAAATGAATTCATTTATCAGCATGAGAATATGTGAATATGTTTATTTAGGTTTAACTTACTTCTTACTATATAGATTTGGCTTGTTTTTTATAATAACAACTGATATATGATTCACAAAAAAGCAGAGAAGAGTAAGAGAAAGAGAGAGAAATGGAGAAAGAGAAGAAAAAAGGGATAAAGAATGAAAGAGAGAAAGAGAATACCATTCTCTAAAGGAAGAGGTGCAGAAAATTCCATTATCCTTTCTTCTTGATCATGCCTTGTATGATTGGCAGCCAAACTAGCCCACTGTGAAACCCAACGTTTGCTTCCAGATGAAGATGTGCCTTCCTAAAGGAGAAAAATAAGAAAACAAAATCATGCAGCCTGGTCATATCTGAGTCTCATGAAAGACAATTTCATTTAGTCACATTAACTTGCCATACAAACCCATAATTAAACCTCACCTTGCTATATTATCATTGATTACATCTTCTCTTATATAAAATAAAAATTCTCTAGAAAATAAAGATCTTCTCTGAAAAAAACTATGTTACTAAAAATGACACCTCTCAATGAAAATCCAAGACAAGCCAAGGCTTCATATGAAAACTGTAATGACAACTAGGGAGTGGAAAGCTACGATGGAAACTTTATTACCAACTAGTCACAACAAATATTTTATTAAGAGTGTCAGATTTGGGCCGGGTGTGGTGGTTGATGCCTGTAATCCCAGTTCTTTGGGAGGCCGAGGCAGGTGGATAATGAGGTCAGGAGATCGAGACCACCCTGGCCAACATGGTGAAACCCTGTCTCTACTAAAAATAAAAAATTAGCTGGGCATGGTGGCATATGACTGTAATCCCAGCTACTTGGGAGGCTGAGGCAGGAGAATTGCTTGAACCCAGGAGGTGGAGGTTGCAGTGAGCTGAGATCGTGCCACTGCACTCCAGTCTGGCAACAGAGCGAGACTTCGTCTCAAAAAGAAAAAAAAAAGTGCCAGATTTAATACATTAATAATGACAAGCTAAACACTGAAGAAGTGAAGACTTCAAATAGATAAATCACTATAAGATTTCAAGAATAGTAGGTAAGAATAGTAAGTACAGGCCAGGTGTGGTTGCTCACGCCTGTAATCCCAGCATTTTGGGAGACCAAGGCGGGTGGATCACCTGAGGTCAGGAGTTCGAGACCAGCCTGGCCAACATGGCGAAACCTCGTCTCTACGAAAAACACAAAAATTAGCCGGGCGTGGTGGCATGCACCTGTAGTCCCAGCTACTTGTGAGGCTGAGGCAGGGGAATCGCGTGAACCCGGGAGGCAGAGGTTGCAGTGAGCCGAGATGGCACCACTGCACTCCAGCCTGGGTGACAGAGGGAGACTCCGTCTCAAAAAAACAGAATAGTAAGTATAGAGAATGACACACATACAGTGAAGCCTCCTAAGGATACCAAAGCCTGCTGCATCCTTAATCCCATCCAAGGTTTTCTGTTACCTGCCCACATTTCTGAGCAGTGAAGGTGGTACCAGAGCCATGTGGACCATGCTAAGAATACCAACAGTATGAGCGTCACTGACACACGCGTATGTAAAACCATTCTGTGAAGAGTGTTCTAAATGTCCTGTTAGGTAATGTTAGGTAATTCCTACAAAGGAACCTACCAGGGCTATAGCTTTTGCTTGGCAGGGGTTGAAGGAATAGAGAAGAAAGAAGAGAGTCTATTTAAATTCACATTTACCAAAACCATTCCTGGGTTACTCAGAATGGCATCATATTGCCTCAAATAATTATCACCTGCTTTCAATAAGTAAATTAAGTATCTCATAAAACAGAAACCAGAATAAAAATTCTCCCAATCACAGGGAAATAATGAGCACTAAAATACAGTAATTGCTTTGACAGTTTTCAGGAAATAGGCCATATAAAGAAACAATTTTAACATTAATAAACAAACAAACATATAGGTCTATTTACCTGTATGTAAGAAACAAATCTTATTTATACTTCATACAAATGTAACATTTTATTTATATTTTCTTTATTTATACCTTGATTTTCTTCTTTTATATTTTTTCTTCTTTTATTTCCTATTTTCTATTAATTTATATTTGTATATTACAAATTAGCTCATTTCCTGAGAGACAATATAGCATGAGTCAGAGAACGAAAGCTTCCATTGAAGGTTAGCTCTTATTATCTGAATAAATAATAATTAATACTTATGCCTTAGATACTTTTTTACATTTCTTTTTGACACATCAATGTGGTATGAAATTCTAATATCATTTCTGATAAAGGTAAAAAACATTTGTTAAGTGCATAAATCTCAGGCAAGTACTATGCTGGATGCTTTATATACTTCATTAAATTCTCTGTAAATATTTTATCAAAAATGCCATTTGTGTAGATGAGAAAACAGAAGATAAGGGAGAAGTGACTGATTCAAAAGCTTTGAGCTAAAAGTGGCAGCTCTGGGTCAGATCTTTCTAGCTCTACTATGCATACTGACTCTGTAATTATCTTAACCAAGCAATCCTTAATTAATTTCATATTATTCTAATTATATCCCGGGCTGTACTGTATTTGCAGTTACTGAGTTATATAAACTGTATCTATCAGGCAGTGCCCTCGTACATGTTTCCTGGTATGATATACAGGAAACATATACTTCTAAGAAAGTATAAGCAGGATATGTTTCTTGTTTTATCTCATAATGCCAATCAGAACCATGAGCATATAGCTCATTAACTGCTTACTGAAACCTAATATTTTCCTCATTGACAAATGAATATTTCTAACACCTAATAAAAATTAAAGTTGAATTACTGCAAAATTGCTTTAGGCTTTCATTAGAAAATAAATTTATAAAAATTTAGTTTTTAGAAGCATTTTACAAGGAGATACATTAATTGCTTAAAATAATGTAATTTACAAATGATAAGAATTCAGGCCAAGTGCGGTGACTCATGCCTGTAATCCTCGCACCATGGGAGGCTGAGGCGGGTGGATCACTTGAGGTCAGGAGTTCGAGACCAGCCTGACCAACATGGTGAAACCATCTCTACTAAAAATATGAAATTAGCCGGGCATGGCGGTGCACGCCTGTAATCACAGCTACTTGGGACGCTGAAGCAGGAGAATCACTTGAACTCAGACGGCAGAGGCTGCAGTGAGCCGAGATCCTGCCATTGCACTCCAGCCTGGGCAACAGAGTGAAACTCTGTCTCAGACAAGAAAAAAAAAAGAATTTATACTTTATGCATTCAAATAGGTACACAGAAGAGATGTATACCTCTGAGTGGTGAAATCCAGATGTAGTCAGTGGTTTTCTTTCTTCCATTACTGCTGCAGCAGAACTGAGAGCCCAATCTTTTATTAGATCTTTATGTTTTTCGTTGATAACAGGCCTATTATAATCCTGATTGTCATCTACTCCAAACACCTAGAGGGAAAAATTATTTTATAAATGAAAACGAAAAGTCTGAACACAAGATTAATATGTGAATAGTATAATTAACTTCAGAGGCAAATAAAAATATTCCAAATTAATTTTAATAGTTAATTTCAAAACTAAGGAAAACTTCTTGAATGACAGTAACAGCTAATTGTGATAGCTAGAAACGAAAGCAGGCAGTCACAGCTTATGTGAAAGTAATTATCCTTTTTTTTTTTTGAGACGGAGTTTCACTCTTGTTGCCCAGGCTGGAGTACAGTGGCGTGATCTCGGCTCACCGCAACCTCCGCCTCCCGGGTTCAAGAGGTTTTCCTGCCTCAGCTTCCCGAGTGGCTGGGATTACAGGCATGCGCAACCATGCCCGGCTAATTTTGTATTTGTAGTAGAGACAGGGTTTTTCCATGTTGGTCAGGCTGGTCTCGAACTCCCGACCTCAGGTGATCTGCCCGCCTCGGCCTCCCAAACTGCTGGGATTACAGGCATGAGCCAACATGCCTGGCCGAAAGTAACTATCCTTTTTTTAACATTTAGCAAATGTCCTGTTCGATTAAAAAAAAATATTCAAGACATATTTTATTTGTTAAAAGATTTAATAGGTCAGGCGTGGTGGCACACACCTGTAATCCCAGCACTTTGGGAGGCCGAGGCGAGCAGATCACTTGAGGTCAGGAGTTCCGGACCAGCCTGGCCAACATGGTGAAACCCCGTTTCTACTAAAAATACAAAAATTAGCTGGGCATGGTGCCATGTGCCTATAGTCCCAGCTACTTGGGAGGCTGAGGCAAGAAAATAGCTTGAACCCAGGAGGCGGAGGTTACAGTGAGCTGAGATCACGCCACTGCATTCCAGCCTGGGCGAAAAAGTGAGACCCTGTTTCAAAAAAAAAAAAAAAAAGATTTAATAATGTTGTTAAACAGTACAACAATGCAAAGAGTTAGAAAAAAGTATCTCTTCAGTTTCTTTTCAGCTTCTTTGCTCTATTATTTTTGTGACACTTGTTGAAAAACCATAAACATGTGGCTGATTTTATCTGTTCCTTCCCTAGCAAATGTTTACCATTTACACATCTGAGTTACATTTAGGCATGAAATTTTCTAAGATGCCATTTTATTGTATAATTGCGACATAGTAGATAGCATAATTCTCAAACTGTATTTGCCTAACAATCCCTTAAAGACCTTTGTTTGAAATGCAGATTCCAGGCCTATTTAAGATTAATTGTTTCAAAAAGCAAGTTGTCAATGTCCAACACTTCTGAAAAGTTCTAAATACAAAGACAAACAATGGCGTGCTTTTCTTTTATGGGCAGGACCTGAGTCTTACTCATTTCCTGGCACATAATAGGCCCTGGATGTCACAGAATAGATTGGAAAAATTTTAGGCATATAAATATTAACATTCTATTCTGCTATTAAATCTCCACTGTGTTCCCAATTTTTATTCTTTATAGTTATTGTTTGTGGCTCTGATTATTACAATCTAGAAAAATATCATGCATTTGAATGAGCAATTTGCAGACAGGATCTTTAGGATATAACCAGAGAGCCTTCATTTTCTATAAGGAGAAGCTACCTCAGGCTAAACTATTTTCTAGACATAAAGTTTTAATGGTCTTATAGTACAGCTATCTGATAAGCTCTAAAGTTCATATTTAGTGAAACAGGTATCAGACTTTCTCATTCACTAAAACTTGAAAATTTTACCACTAGATGGTCTTATTACTTAATATTTAATTCTAACATAACTATAATTGTCAAGAATTATGATTTAATATTCTCTTGAACTCCTCAATATTTAAATTATCTTTGCTTTAAGAGCAAATTATGTATTGTTTATTTTAAATCAAATATGAATTTTAATACATGGAAGCACAATGTACAGAAGGGAAAAAACAAAAACTGCTTCGTTTTGCTTAACATTAGCGTTAAGTTTAACAGCAGTGAAAAAACCAGAGTATAACCTGTGTCCTCTACCTTTAACCCCCACTTGTAAAGAAAGCAAATTATAGCTATTCAAGTTATTTGTGTCCGTCTTTAAAAAAGTTAATCACTCCTAACTCAAGTCACTGAACTCCAATTTTACTGAAGTTTATTTACTTATTTTATAATTACTAACAAAAATCTAACTCAGGTTTGAAAGTTAAAATAACCACATGAGTACTTGCATTTTTGCATCTCTTTGACATGTAATTTAGAAATTATCTTGAGTGATTTTCTGATGAATATTTCATTCTAATCCACACTAAAAACTTGATTTCCTCAAACATCTAAGCACCAGCAGTTTCAAATAAAATATCATGAACCTCTCTAAATCACTTCTGACACCACTTTGAAATGACAACAAAAAACACACGAACTAATCCTGTGAGGAAGGGGAGCTGAAGCCGGACAGAAAATACTTCGATGACGTTCGACAGATTCCTTTTAAAGCATCAGAGACAGCTATACATACATTATTAAGTAACAATTATTTCTTCTCCAAACAAGTGGTAGGGCCTGACCTACTACAGTGTGGGGAAAGAAGCCTTCAAATTTCACATCTGTTTTGATAGCGTTTTGAAAAATTAATGATAGCAATGACTACCAGCCCAGATTGAAATCCATATCTATGCGTTTCTGCCTCTAAGTAGAAACACATCCACCTGTGACAACTTTTATGTGAAAACAAATATATAAAGTTTATACTGTCTATATACTTAAAGTTAGTGTACTTTTCACACTTATAAAAGGTACCTACAGTCTGAAAAAAGAGCTGATAATTGTACAGAACTTGAGAGCTCCTCAAAACCAAGACCAAGTATGCTAGGTTCTCTCACCTTTCATTTTAGATTCTATTCCCAGGTGATTTCACCTAGGAACATGCAAGGCTTCACTTCAATTACCAACTATCTAGACTGTTGCTTACTGTCATCCCACCTGCTGGAAGGCTCAACAGTATTTCTTTTTTGTTTTTTTTTGAGACAGAGTCTCGCTTTGTCGCCCAGGCCGGAGTGCAGTGGCGCGATCTCGGCTCACTGCAAGCTCCGCCTCCCGGGTTCACGCCATTCTCCTGCCTCAGCCTCCCGAGTAGCTGGGACTACAGGCGCCCGCCACTACGCCTGGCTAATTTTTTGTATTTTTAGCAGAGACGGGGTTTCACCGTGTTAGCCAGGATGGTCTCCATCTCCTGACCTCATCATCTGCCTGCCTCAGCCTCCCAAAGTGCTGGGATTACAGGCGTGAGCCACAACGCCCGGCCTCAAAGGTATTTCCAACATAGTATCTCACCTCTAGGCTCATGATTCTCTTCTCTGGTCTGGTCTCAATCCAAATCCCAAACATGAGATAGTACAAAATCTAGGTCTTTCATTCAGCTAGGAACTTCTGTAGGCTAGAAGTCCACAGTGGGGAAGGAGATGAGACACCTAATTTTTATGCTTGCACCCCAAGTTTGCCAGTTTCTAATTCTTCCAGAGTAGGATCAAAGGAAGGCGGAATAGGACAGGAGGTGAAAACTCCTTTGTGAACTTGCACTTGCATGGAGAGCTGTCTGGGCCTGGCAGATGTTTAAAGACAACTCATTCGTACTGGGCGTAGGAAGTGGCTTTCACATATTCTCTCCTACAGTTCCCCCGATCCGAGTAGATACATCTCTGTGGAGTGAGCCACAACCCCTCTGCCATGGCCTTTAGGTCTGGGGTAAGAAGGCAGTACCTCCCTCCCTATCCCACTCCAACAATCATGAAACAATCTTTTCTTCTGAATACATTTGTATATTTGGCATTTCACTTTGGGATTTCAAATCCAAAGCTCAGTGGCTACTGTAAACAATTTTAACAACCTGTTACTGAGGAATGGCACTTACTCTCCACAGGCTACTTGGCTAGCCACTGCAGGGGATTACAAAATCTGTATGACAGTCTTTGCTTTTGAGGAGGTTACGTCTGATAAAGGAGCTTATAAAAAGAAGAGGCTGTCACCTGAAAGAACCATGCAGGAATATTCTGTAATTAAAACCAAATATCCATAAGAACCAAACGATATTTTTAGATTTTAGTTTTAAGTTTAAAGAGACTAAACATTCTCCAGATAACAAACTCGTACAATACAAACCAAACCTATGAAAAGTTTGACTGATTTTTTTCACTAGCATATTATGATCATAGTCATTATTATTGAAAAGCTCAGTCTGTGCAAAGATGCACAGTGTCCAATTCTGAAATCAGAATGGTGAGGATGGGGGATACAGGGTCAACTTTCATGCAGATAAATATCCTACCTATTGAATATTTGCAGAGAGGTCAAAATTTACATTTAGTAACATCAGATACGGGAAGCTTGCTGATTGTGACAGAAAATAGAGACCATTGTGAAAGAAGAGAAGCGCCGTGGGGTAAGATGTAGGCATAAAACTATAGTAATACAATGTAGAGCAAAATGATAATTCAATAGCAATAGTGCTAATTTATTAGTTTAAAAAATATCCAAATCAGTAGGAATTCAGAATTCATATTCCCACAGAAATGAAAAATATAATGGCAGATTAAACATCTAACTTCTACAATCTTATTTTAAAGTAACAACTGAAAAACAGTATTGCATTAGTATATCAATCACATCAAGGTGTCCAAGTAAAAATGTACTCAAGTTTCAACCTCAGATAACCAGAACATCTTCCTCCTCAATGAGCAAAGACTTCTTGGGTAAGGAGAGCAGGGTCTCTGTTGGATCAAATCAATAGTAGAGGTTCCCATGGCCCATGAAAATAATTTGACACTTTAAGAATTAAGAATTATGCAGAATTCTAGCCACTAGTGTCAAGGAACTAAATCAGGATGATTTAAGAGGGGAATTTATTTTTGTAATTGTCTATGAAAATCTAATTTTACTTTTAAAAAGAAAAATCCCTTAAAATTCCATGGAATAAGTTATTGTGAATATTTAACACTGTGATTTTTATCACATATTTGTAATCAACTTTTAAATTTAAAATTCAGACAAAATTATTAGAAGAGCACAGAAAGGGAGTCAGGAGAGACATTTTATAATTTATCCTGGTCCACAAATAAATATATGTGCATGCACATTCACAGCAGTGTTACAACAGCCAAAGGAAGAAAGAACACAATTATCCATCTGTGGATGGATGGATGAATAAAATGTGGTTTATGCACGCAATAAGATATTTATTCAGCCATAAAAAGGAATGGGCAGGGAGTGGTGGCTCGTGCCTGTAATTCCAGCACTTTGGGAGGCCGAAGGCGGGTGGATCACCTGAGGTCAGGAGTTTGAGACCAGCCTGGCCAACATGGCAAAACCCCATCTATACTAAAAATACAAAAATTAACCGGGCGTGGTGGCAAGTGCTTGTAGTCCCAGCTACTAGCGAGGCTGAGACAGGAGAATCGCATAACGTGAGCCGAGATCACGCCACTGCACTCCAGCCTGGGCAACAGAGCGAGACTCTGCCTCAAAAAAAAAAAAAAAAAAAAAAAAAAAGGAGTGAAGTACTGATACAGGTTACAACACATGTGAACCTTGAAAACATTATTCCAAGTGAAAGTAGCCGGTCACAAAAGACCACATATAGTATGATTCCATTTATACAAAATGTCTAGAATAAGCAAATCCATAGAGACAAAAAGTAGATTAGTGGCTGCCAGGAGGCTGGGAGAGGAAGGAATGGGAAGTGACTGCTTAATGATCATGAGATTTGGTTTTGCAGTGATGAAAATGCCCTGAAATTAAGATAGTGCTGATGGTTGTACAACCCTGTGAATGTACTAAAAGCCACTGAATTGTATACTTTAAATGGCTAAAATAGTCAATTTCATATTATATGAATTTTACCTCATATTTTCTTTAAATGGGACTCTATCTTCTTCTTCTTTTTTTTTTTTTGAGATGGGTCTTGCTCTGTCACCCAGGCTGGAGTGCAGTGGCACAATCTTGGCTCACTGCAACCTCCGCCTCCCGGGTTCAAGCGATTCTCCTGCCTCAGCCTCCCGAGTAGCTGGGATTGCAGGCTCATGCCCCATGCCCTGCTGTTTTTTTTGTATTTTTAGTAGAGAGGGGGTTTCACCGTGTTAGCCAGGATGGTGTCAATCTCCTGACCTCGTGATCACCCGCCTTGGCCTCCCAAAGTGCTGGGATTACAGGCGTGAGCCACTGCGCTCAGCCTCTGTCTTCTTCCTTTGCTCTCCTGTCTGGGTGAAAACATGTTCTTAAATCTTTGTCTTCCCTCTTAACCTACCTTGTGTCCTTGATTCTCCCCATTACTTAGAAGTCTTACATCCATAATCTCTTCCCTCCCATCACTTCCTACATCTTTCTCGATTTGCTCTTTCTTTCATATCTTCAAATTATACTTAGATCTCATCTAATTCCTCTAAAATTTAAATGTCCAATTTCTCTCCCTTTTATGGTTCATTCCCTGGTCATGTATCCCCTCTTACAGTCCCTATAAGCTGGAAGTTCATCAATAATCATATTCCCCTTTCCTTGCCAAGCAGATTTTCCAGCTGGAAGCTGTCAGGTAGGTATCGCTAGGAACTCAAAGGTAAGTCTAGTCTATTTATCACAGCATCTCCCCAAAATTTATACATTTCTTCTTCTTCTGAGACTATCTATCTTTGCTGCTTTCATACTTAATATTACAAAGCTAAGTTTATAATATATACAAGGTTTTAAACTATATATTTTAACAAGTTATTTTGGAATCAAGATATAAACTAGTTTCAGCATATAAAAATGCAGAAAAATTTCTTTGTGGGGGCATGGTTGGATTTAATTAATCTATAAATTCATTGAAATAAGTTAGCCAATCTACAACGAATCATACACAAATGCTAACAAATGAAAAAGCAGGTCACAAATTTTTCTTTCTCATTCATTCACATTCAAAAGATATTTATTGAGTGTCTATTACATGCCAGACACTGTTCTAGACACAAGGGATACGATGTGAACAAGACAAATAACAAAATCTTAGAGTGAACAAACAGAAAATAAACCAGACGGAAGTGAGTTCTATAAAGAAAACACAACATGGCAATCTGATGGAGAGATATAAGAAGTGAATGACGCAACTACTTTAAATAGAGTGGTGAGTAAAAGCCACTTCAAAGTGAATTATGAGATGGGTATAGAGTTTCCATTTTTCAAGACAAAAAGTTACAGAGATGGATGGCGGTGATGGTTGTGCAACATTTTAAACGTATTTAATAACACTAAACGCTACATTTAAAAATTGCTAAGACGATAAATTTTCTTATATATATTTTCCACAATAAAAAGATGGAAGGAATAAATAAAATGAATTATGAGAAGCTAGGCATGCCAAAAAGACAAGGAAGAGCTTATTAGATTGAGGGCACAATTTCCTCAAAGAGGAAAATAAATAGAATTTCATACAATAAGAGAGAAAGGAAAATGAGGACAAACCTATTATGTTAGGCGTCTGGCTGAATAAAAGGTGAGGGTTCCCTCGTGAAGCTTTGGAAATTAACACAGCAGGAGAGGGTTTCTTATACCCAGGAAGGAGGCAGCAGAGGTTAAGAAGGGTTGAGGAGAACTAATCAGAGAAACCAAAAGTAAGCTCTCCTGGTAGAAATTAAAAAGAAAAAATTCTCAATACAGAAAAAATTGCTCAGTCAAAAATAAAAATGCTGACTGTCGTCAAAGTCTTCTCCTATTGTCCAAGGCTCTCACTTGATCTCCTACTCCTTGAGTTCCCATGCACATCTAATTCTCTATCTGAGTGGACTTTGGACATCCTGCCTTCTTCTACATAGATTTTGATTCTGGTTTATCATCGTTTCCCTGGCTCTTACTTGGATCTCATCTTAAATCTTGCTGTGACTTTCAGGGTTTGGAATATTTTTACAGGGTCCAGATCCGCAGCACTGACTTTCTTGAGCTGTTTGACTCACTGCTGTAAATGTTCTTCCTCCCATGTTTCTAGTTTTGTTATAGGTCTCCTGGCTCTAGATTCTTCCCTACCAACTGTTGCTTATAGAACCAGCAGTGACCAGGCCCTATGAGGGAAGAAAAGACGCTAGTAAGAGGCTTTGTAGGGGAGATATATTGACACAATGAACAAGAATCAAAACTCAGGACAAGAAAAGTATCTGGCAGAGTTGGTCTATGGTATGAAATTTATGAGGAGAAATATTTCTTTTAAGAGGATAGTTCCTCAAGCCCTCCACAATGATCATTTTTTCTTGTTCCTTTAATGTTTAGCTTTCTGTTCTTACCACAAGTTTCTCCTATTTAGCTTAGGAGGTTAGGAAGTAACCCTGACAAGGTCTTCCTCTTGCCTCAGTGGTTATCTCTTTTGATGGAAGAGTGGAGAGAAGAAACTGGTACTGTGATGGGAAGGTAGTTATCGGAGAGGCCAAGGGAGAGAGGGTTGGGAGAGATAATTACTAGTATGAGAGATAAATGCCTTTAATCTAGGCAGTCAACAGCACTTTCTTATAGTGTATTTCCATGTAAACTTAGATGTAAAACTTAAGAGGTCTTTATCAATATCAGGTATTTGTGTTAACATTTTAAAGGTGAATTTGAGGACATGCATAAAATAAGGTGATCTATTGAGAGAGACAGCCCCAAAATACAAACCCAAATGCTGTAATCTCATAACTTGGCGACAGAAAAAGAGGGTAGGTAGTTCACTATCTTTTAACTACTACCAGCACAGAAAAATAAGGATACAGCAGTTTAGCTTGGTCATCTCTTTAAAGAAATCCTATTTTAATGCTATGCAACTCTTCCCAAGGTAAGATGCAAATACACGGTTTGCTCATCTTCTTTAGCCCAAGAATTACAATGTATTTTGGAGAAAAACTGAAAAGGCATTCTGTGCTCATCATAGTTAACATCAGTGTGTCATGTGATACTGTTGCTTACTGACTTCTCTTTGCTCTGCTTTTTATTCCAAGATGCTACATATTCCTTTGGTTTTCTCTTATTCCTGTTACATATTTTTCAGTTTCCTTTGTTCCCCCTTCTCCTTTGTCCATCAATGTTGGTGTTGCTGAGATTTTCATACTTTATTTGCTCTCACCCTATACATTTTCTCTGATTAATCTCATCTCTTATTTTGTATTCAATTACTGCTATGGTTTGGATGTGGTTTGTCCCTGCCAAAACTCATGTAGAAGTTTAATTGCCAGTGTGACAGTGTTGGGAGGTGAGGCCTAATGGGAGGTGTTTGGGTCAAAAAGGCAGATCTCTCATGAATATATTAATGCTATCTTGTGAGTTCTTGTTCTTATGGGAATGGATTTGTTCCCTTCACAGTAGACTGTTATAAAGTGAGGCAGCCCCTCTTGTTTTGCCTTTTTGCATATGTCCACTTCCCCTCTGACTTTCTCTACCATGTTTTGACCCAGCATGTAGCCCTTAACATAAGCCAGCCATATGTGGAGCTATGCTCTAGAATTTCCCAGCCTGCAGAATTGTGAGCTAAACAAACCTCTTTTCTTGATAAGCTACCCAGTCTCAGATATAGCAACACAAAACATACTAAGACAGCTGCCCTCTATTGTCTAATAATTCCCAGATCTGTATTTTTAGCCCAGGCCTCTTACCTAAGATCTAGTCATTAACTAATTGACTACTGGACATGACAGCAGCTTTTAGATTGCCTTCTGTGCTTCTGGCATTTCCAATGTTCAATCCATACTTCACACTTCTGACAGTGACTCGACCATGTCATTGCCCTACTTAAATGTTTTCAATGATTCCCCACTGCCTTCGGCATTAAAGTCCTCAGTATGATATATAATGAACTTCAATATCGAGTCCAATCTCATCTCTTCAAAAGTAACTGTGGTCCTCTGAACAAGTCATGTGTGCTCCTGTGCTTTCGAATAGGCTGTTCCATATTTCTGGAAAACTCTACCTAGCATGCCTGTTATGGGATTAATTACGTATGTTTCACGACTAGCTCAGCTGGCAATATTTATTGAGGACATTTTATATGCTGGCACTAGGTTCCTACAGTCATGGAGTTTACATTTGTTTGTGTCTCTTTCCAATGGGAGTAGGGAGGCAAATGAATAAACAGTGAACTGGTGAAGCAGTAATAAAGCTTATGATTAAAATGAAACAAGTTGATGACAGTGACTACTTTTTTTTTTTTTTAACTGAATGACTAAAGACTTCTCTGAGGAAGGAATGTCCTCTGAAGACCTGAGATCTCCTCTTGGAAGCTATTGGTAGCTTTCCTCCAACAGCTTTATTTTTAAAGTCTTGGTTTTTGTCTGTGTATATCTATTCCAGTACACAGCCATTTCCTGAGAGAAAGAGCTCAGTCTTTTCATTGTGAATCACCTTCTCGTAGACACAAAGCCTGGCACATAGTTAATGTTGAATTAAAGTTGCTAAATAAATGAATCAATGAAATAGAACACATCTCAAATGATGACGTGAAAAGAAGAGTTAGACCACATGAACGTTTCCAGGACCAAAGAACATTTAAATTCAGACAAACAACAGCTGATGGCCCCAACTTCAATCCCACACACCCAAACCTCAAAATGGAGAAACTGGATGACAACACTCATCCAGGCAACTTGATATGATGCCTGTATCTACTCCTATCCTCCCAAAGTGCTTTTTCTGCCTTCCTTCTGGCTGTTGTTGGTCTTTGTTTTCTTCATACCCACAGGTTACTTCATCTTACTCAGACATGATTACTGCTTTTATGCTTTTGTTTTCCCAGAGCCTGACTTTAATTAGCCCGAATTTGGCTTTAAGCTTTATGTGGATTCAAGCTAATGGAATCTTAGCTCTTTTTCTTTGGTAGTCACAAGATAATGTAGTGAGCTTTGTTCTTCCCAGCAATATGGTCTCAGCTTCATTTTCTGGTTTATACAAACTAAGAATGACTTTGAACTATGTACACAGTCACACACTACCATTACTCCTTTAAATGACTCCTGCTCTAAAGTCTTGGGTTTCTCTATCCACAGTGTGACCATATAATTTGCTGTCAAAATGGACTCTGAGAATAAAAAATGATGCTTATGATAATTGTAGGCAACAGGTGTAAAACAGGTTTTGTGGCCACCCTCTCTATCCAGCAGTTTCCTGAAGAGTTTCATCTGCTACAATGACTTCTTTCTTGGCTTTCTGCTGTCCTGGCCAAGCTAGCCCCTCACACTGTCACTTCCATTGTGGTTTTATATTTAACCCTTTCAGTGCTGAAAGAACATTCTGGGATTTGTCAGTACTTTATGTAGAGATTCAAATGTGGAAACTCCTAATAACAGTAATGATAAAGCAACACTTATAAAGCAATATAATAAGATAGGTATTGTGATAAGCCTTTTACATGTTTTATTGAATTCTTTTTATAATCTAGTGATATCGCCTCTGTTTCAGAGATAAAAGAAACTGAGGCTTAAAGAGGTAACTTTACCCAAGGGCACACACAAGCACATGCAAAGTTTATATTTAATCCCAGATCTGTCTGCTTACAAGGGTCCATGTTCTTAAATTGCACTCTCTCTCTCTCTCTATATATATATACATATAAAATCCTTCACTGCAAAATAATCTTTTAATGGGAAAACATCAGCCATTATGATCAGTCATTAAGAAACATCAGATGTTTCTTAAACACTATACTTTTCATATTAACAACTATAATATTGCTCACCTATTTCCCAGACAATGGGTCTCTAAAAGTTTGGAGTTGAGCAGCTCAGTGGTAAACCTGAAGCATGTACTTCACAATAAATGTATGTTTAGAAATTATACGTACTCTCTTACAGTGTAGTAAGAGATTTTATACACTATAGAACACAATCCAAAATAAAAATTAAAAATATGAAAATAAAAGTAAACATTAAGTTCTAATATTTTTCCTGCATCCCAAAGGGTTATCTTATCTTGCCCTCCTCCCTGAAGAGGCCATTCCAGAAACTCATCATCTAAATAAGTGCATCTCAAATGTTAATGTGCACATTAGTCAACTGGAGATCTCATTTCTAATGTAGATTTTGACTTGGTATATATAGGATGGGCCTGAGAAGCTGCATTTCTAACAAGCTTCCAAGTAATATTTATGCTGCTAACCCGTGGAGTGGATTTGAGTAACAAGAATTCAAACAAAAGATTAACGTTTAGCCAAACGGATACTGCTGTTTTGCAAGAGGTAATATGAGGTTGGTGCAAAAGTCACTGCGGTTTTTGCCATTACTTTCAACGGCAACCTTGATAGCTGATTCTAAAGTCAACCTTTCACGACCATTGGCAAAACTGAGAAAAATTGCTTTTTAAACCATGCAACAATCCTTACACACGCTAACCAATAATATCAAAGAATACACTTGAAATGTAGGTAACTATCACGACTGGTCATATACGTGGTTAAACTAGTAAACTAAATCATAAACAACTGATTTTGTTTTCATATACTTCTCTTCTACCACCAATGACAGCAGTGAATAGAAATTAAGAAAACATACGGACAAAGAACAAAGCTAAAATAAGTATTTTCATCTTCCAACATGAAATCAGCAGGTAGGAAATCTGTGGTTAACTATTATTGGCTAATATCTACATTTATGTTAACAGAGTTATAGCAATGTTTGTTGGTTGTTTCTTTTTATTTTTTAAGCAAATGCAAAGCAAGAATGTCCAAAGCATACTATTTTTAAAACCTATCTTTAATTTACACAAATTTAAAAGGTCCAAACCTTTTAAATGTACAGAGCTTTATGTATGAAACTCAGGTAAATTCAGAATATCAGCAAATAAAATCACAAAGCATGTTGGTCTTACTGTTAAGTCTTGCAGTTCCCTAACAAAACCCTAAAATTCACATACCACTGACTGCATGACAACATCTCATGCTGACTCTCCAATAATTTCCACCAGTCAAATACACCACACAACAACTAAGATCACACTCAAATTTCAATTATTTACCTTGTCAATCATTTTTCTTGCTTCCACTTCCTCACTGTTGGGATTCTCTAACTCAATGGTATAAGTACCCTTGTCACTTTGGTCATCATCATTATCCTTTTCAGAAGTAGCAGAAGTTGCTTGATTTTTTAACATTTTATCCATCTCCTGGCTTGGTCTGTGCCCAAGACTCCCTGAACTTCTTAATAATGCAGTTTGTAGGAAGGGTATTGACACCGATGGCTCCTCTGATTTCTGTTTTAACAATTTCCCATGTGGAACACCATGCCCCCCTCTGTGATGCGCAGAGCTAGTCTGTAAAGACAAAGAAACCACTTTGGCATCTGCTGTTGGAGACTTTGCTTTCTCAAGTTTTGTATGTGGTGTTGAATATGTAGTTTCCTGACACAAGATTCCCGCACTTTGAGTAAAAGAATACGACCTTCTTTTTCTGGGATTGTCTTCATCAAAGAATGCAATCATAAAAGCAGTTTGACTTACAACAGCTTGGTCTTGATGCTTTTCAGTAGCCTGGACCTTCTGTAGCTTTTTGTGTTCTGAATGGTGGCGTCTTAAGTGTTCCTCAAGAGTTGCACGTTTGCTACAGCGCCTGTGAGCCCCAGCGTTCTCTGAATCACTTTGCGTACCATCATCATGTTTATTTCCTGGATACAAAAAGAAAACACACAATAGAGAAGGAAAAAGTCCCATGTAGAAATTTAGAAGCATATACAAAAGTGCTATTTGTTTTGCTCCCCTCCTCCTTTTCAATCCAAAGTCATATGTTCTCTTCAGTAACAGGCTCGGCAAACTTGCTCAATTGCAATGGTTACATTCAAATTTTATCAACTAACAATGAGGTCCTTTATAAACAACTGAATAGGATCGCCTTTCTCCAAATTTTAACTTTATAATGTTTCATCAATGTCTTAATAGATAATTGATGCTCTATCTCTGCGATATTTGTATTCCTAACATCAATAAACATTAATTCTGCCTTCAAATTATACATCTTATTTAGCAATAAAAAATTTGACTCTAGCATTAGAGATGAAAAAAGACAAGAAAAAGGGTAATGTCACTGAAATGCTTACTGTTACACAGGAAATGAGAACATAAGTATGGTAAAAATGTGATGAATCTTAAGCTTCACTGATGTTCAGTACTTTCAGAAGCTCAGCATATTTTTCCTTTTTATTAAAAAGATTCAAATTTGTAGTCCCCATTAATTATTGCAAAATTTTTTCCACATATCTTTCCAGCTATGAGAATTTTTGAAAACTGCATTTGCACTCCAAACTCTAGTGGCTTCAGAGTTAAAGAAAGCATGCTGAGAGGTCTATCAATGCAAAGGGTCATCTATGAAATCTCCACCTAGATCTAAGGACCACTGGGCAAACAGCATGGTGCTCAATATAACCAGCTATTTTCCCCAGGAAGCATATCAGGTTAGAATATATCGGAATTTTGAAAGATCACCTCTTTAACAAAGGTTTTTCTATTTTAGAGCAAGTAAAAGCCACTAGTTACCCTTAATGGTTCTGTTAGGTTTTGGATGTGATGACACAAAAATTATTTTTTTCCTGATTTAAAATTCTCATTACCTAAATAATAAGTATATGATAAAAATAATCAAATGATATTGTATTATTATAGCATGAAATTATTAGAAAGTCAAGTTATTCTGTGCATGTTTTAAATGGAATCACAAATCAGAGCTTAAATTAGTTTTAAACTTCTTTAGCTATGAATGAATTTAGTCAACGAGGTACATTCTAATGCTTCCAGGACTAAATCTGATTTTTAAATTTACCTGGGCTACAAATTTTAATGTGAACACCCACTGAATAATATGGTACCAAACAAAATAATGATCAGACACGAAAGACTTGGGGGTGGGAGAAGCAAATGACCTATGTCTAGGGAAGTTGAGTGTTAATGTTTATAGGTTGTTCCTAATGAATTTAGAGATTACTAACTGGTCCCAATGATTTAACACAGAAACACTAGTTATAAAAATGTGGTGCATAAAAGGAATGAGAAGACACAGAAGAGAGAACTGCGGAATGCACAGAAAAGGGTCATGTCTTGGAAAAGTAATAGGCAAGGGAAACAAAGGGAGTAAGATCAAAATGAAGGTGATTTGGAGATCATGTCTATCAAAGTAATAGTGATTAATACTATAAAAATCATATATGACAACAAATCTGAAGATCTTTCTTCAAATTGTTGACTACTCAAAATGCAATCTGAAAAGAAAAAATGGGATTAATTAATGAAATCCCTGCCTCAGGTAATTAAGCTAGGAATAACAGATAGCAGATGAAAGGCAAGCCCAAACAAACTCCTTAGTTCAAATATAGACTTCATTAAAAACACTAGATTTTACAACCTATTTCATTGTTGTAATGGCTCTATTGAAAAGGAATCCAGTTTCTAAAAGCTGAAAATAACTAAATTCCAATATTTGCTGTACCATAAGAATAACAGATCACGCACATACAGAAAGATTTTAATGAAAATACCATCTTCACAGAATTTAATTGATTCCAATAGATAAAATTTGGCACTTAGTGGTGTCAGGCCCTTTCAAATATCTTTCCTATAACTTGTAGTTCAAAACTTTTCTTATAAATTAGTCATTTTCTTTTTTGGAAAATTACCATTCCCTCTTGTATTTTGTCAGGGTTATACAAGTCAACATCTCATCACAGCTGCAATTTTCTGTTTCTACTCATTAAAAAAGTCACTAGGAAACAGTCCTCACCAAGTTCTTTTCTTTCCTTTGCTCATCATTAACCATGCCTAAATATGTTGAAGTC
The DNA here is from genome assembly GCF_000001405.40 of Homo sapiens. Taxonomy (NCBI): domain Eukaryota; kingdom Metazoa; phylum Chordata; class Mammalia; order Primates; family Hominidae; genus Homo; species Homo sapiens. The sequence goes on from NT_187519.1 coordinate 200,688, forward strand.
CTTTTAATATTTTTAGGGTAGGTTAGCTGTAACAAGTCAGTGGTGTGGCCTAAAACAGTGGCAACTCTCCTAAAGGGTTAAAGTGTATGGGCTTTATTTTCCAAACTGTCGCAAAGCACCTGCATTTTACTCTTGTAGGAGCAAAGTTTTTTGTTTTAGTTTTGTTTTGCCTACTTTCAATTCTTTGATCTAAACAGTTGCTGAAAACCTAATTTTTGTAAAATTTTTATTATTTGCTATAATTACATTTATTTAGAGTCTGGCTATATACTTTTTATATCCTAAATCATGGAAAATTGTTATCTAATGATGGAAGCTCTGACTTTTGGAGAAAGTCACATGTCATTTATACACATGTCCAGAAAAGTAAAATGAGTCTATCTTGGATCAAAAAATGAGTTATATTCACAAAAACATTATCTTCAATGGCTTGTAAAATGGTCTGAAGGCAAATCCAAAAGAAGAGTTCTCACACTGGCACCATACTGGAATGTATGTCTACCTATAAATCAACTTTGAAGGACAACAGTAATATGATTACATAATTTCTAGTAAGGGCTTAAAAGATCTAATCATTAAAATACAGATATAGTATACATGTGGACATTAATCCCTCTATTTGGAATTAGGCCCACAAATGGGCTTGTGAGGACAGAACGTTTTAAAATAATGGCTTAAAAATAATAGTCGATACAGGCCAGGCGCGGTGGCTCACGCCTGTAACCCCAGCACTTTGGGAGGCTAAGGTGGGTGGATCACGAGGTCAGGAGATCAAGACCATCCTGGCTAACACGGTGAAACCCCGTCTCTACTAAAAATAAAAAAAATTAGCCGGGTGTGGTGGTGGGCGCCTGTAGTTCCAGCTACTCGGGAGGCTGAGGCAGGAGAATCGCGTGAACCCAGGAGGCGGAGCTTGCAGTGAGCCGAGATCGCGCCACTGCACTCCAGCCTGAGTGACAAAGCGAGACTCTGTCTCCAAAAAAAAAAAAAAAAAATAGTAGTAATAATAATAGTCAATATAGAAAATAGTTATAATGACTAAGTTATAAATGGGTTTAATAAAGGTATTTTTAAAATGATTACCTTTTAAAAGGATATTTTACCTCAGTTTTTGTTTATTAAGAGTGGTTTTAAAAAGTCTAAGTTATTTCTAAATTCTCAAGGTTCAGCTACCTCTTATACTGTACTAGGAGATCAATATTATTTATCCAATTCATATAAACAGCCTATGTGTTTGTGAGTGTTAACCTACAGAAACAAAATGTCTCAATTACGTATTGTCTAGAAGTAAAATGTCACAATCATGTCTCAAAAATACATATGCCAGGTAACTGCTGATAACTATAATTAAATATTGTGATAGGCTCCAACAAATAATTAGGTAATCACATCATCTCACTGTCCGGAAATGTCTTAGAAGCAAATCAGAAATAAGTATACAAATACTATTTCTTCATTACTTGATCAGAATGCCAGGACATAAGGTACAGATTAAATCAGGGACAGTCTTGTCATTGACAGAGAAATCGCCCATTGTTTTCAAATTAGTACCTATCACATGCTCAAGTACTAGATGAAGTGTTAGGAGTACAAAAACTCCTAATATAGTAACAGAATGGTCAGCTAAACGTGTAATCACAATTTGTTCAAAATCGTTTTCCTTATAGATAGCTTATTAAATAAAAGATAGGGTAACATAAATCTATACTCAATTCTAAAATAAATTTAATTGGCAAAACCAATGAGAAAAAACTGATCAGCTGATACATCAGTGTACAAACATACAAATTGTACTAATTTTGGCTAAGTTCTACACAAATAAAGTATATATAACTATTTCAAAAATGAACATTCAACTCTAATTTTCATGAAGTCCTAATATTAAAAAAAATTTTAAAACTGGATTAATAGATCCTACCAAATATTTCTAAACCAAAAATCTTTGTTTTATGAGTAACCACTGAGAATACTTTGAAGCGCTCCATCAATGATGTGACTGCATTACCAAAGTAGAACTTTTGGCTCAGACCAAATGACTTAAAATTTCTTTCAGAATCTAGATATTGATCTCAATAGAGAACAGAATTGAATATATCTTTTCCTTAAATCAAGAAAATGATGGAACTCATCTTCTAGGGAACTCTACTGGTAAACTTAATAAATCTTATATTTCTAGAAGAAAAAGAAACATGTTTTATAGCATAAATATAAGCTCATAAAACCAATCTGGTTTTGTCAAGAAAATGAAGGAAGACTATTTTGAATGAGGAAATTGGACATGGGCAGTGTAGCTTCCTGTTTAGTTTTAAGACTAAATATAACCTTTGAAAAAAGCAGAATGTTTTCTACCATGTAAGTATCTACTAGTAGTCTAGTAAATGAAGACCAGATTTTCTTTATCGTAAAGTAGGAAGTTCTGAATGATCAAATCACTTTACCTTTCAACCTTTTCAAGTACACTGGAACATCACTTTTAATGCTTTTAGAATCCTCTTCTGTTCTTTCCCATAGCATTTGAGGAGGGTTGTTTTGTGCTAGCCAGTCAGCAACTTTGTTTTCGGGTGCCATCATTCCTGTTTGAATCCCCAGCAAGTCTTGAGTTCCAGGAGAAGACTTCTTGGACTTGTGGCGCTGATCAGAAGTAAACTTTGTCACATGGTCTCTAATAGTTACCTTCCCTGGGGTACTGTCATCAAATTCAATGGTAAATGAAGCATGCCCTGCACCTGTTATATGGGAACTTGGCGTGTCTTTTGTTGGGATTTCATGAATAGTGCTTTCTGTTATTTGTGATGGTTGCTGGAATTCTTTTGTAGGGATTTCAAAATAACTTGGTTCCCTACAGAAAGGAAAAAGTACTTCTTCATTTGCAGCTGCAGATTGTTCCTCAACTTGCTTGGCATCTATGCCGCACCCTAATGAGAAAAATAAGAGAAAATTCAAAATATTTGATTGCTTCTGGCACTTGAGGGAGTCTGGTAATGGCCATGTGTACTACTCCGTGAGAACCAGAAGGCAGATCACAGTCTGGATGAAAACCAATGGCATTTATATCACAGAACAAATGTCACAGAGAAGAAAGAATCTTGATTATAAACATGCGATTTGATTACCAATAGGGGATGGAAGATAAGCAGCAGCAATGGCAAATGAGAGCAAAGCAGTTAAGAAATGGATCTTGCATGGCTAGGTCCATATTTTTTCCAACCTGGATCTAGAATTCATCAAGGTCCAAAAGAATTAAAATAAAATGTAGATGGAGATGCATGTTCAATGTATATATAAAAAGTGACAGAAAAACCATGAACTCCCTTCTCAAGTCGCCAAGATGAGATATCTGAAATATATATGAACACATGTAGTGCTCCAAAGGAGAATAGGTGCTCAAATGAGAATACAAACATGAAGTAAATATGTAAGTGATCTTCTGGAAGTAATGATTCCACTTACCATTCTTCACCATTACATTCGGAAACATTACTTTCAGAATGACAAAGATATTGCTGAAGTGCGATCCTTGCAAGAAGATACAAACATTTTATAAAGACTAAAACATGTGGTTTGCAATCCAAGCAGCAGTGTGAACGAAATAAGGTTAAAATAGGAAATTCAGTTTCCAGACAATAACTCTGGAAGTTTACATTTCCATACAGCAGAATATGCAAAAGTGTCAAAATTCCTTGGAGGAAAGCTGAATTGTAAACCTCAGATTAACATGAGTTGGCAGAAGGAGCAAGCAACTCTGGAACACTATCACTATTCTTCTGTTGCCTCAGAATCTAATACAAAAGTATAGAAACAGATGCATTTATGAATAAAATACATAAATAAAAATGACAACTAAAACGTTTTCGGTACGCAAATGCAAAATAAAAAAATTAAAGATGCTATTGTCCTGTTGTTGAAGAAGCAAAGCATGTCCATTATCAAAATGAAGAGCAAGTTGAAATGAGACATATTTCCCTAAAGCTCAAAAATAAATTCTGCTTTTAAACAGATTAATAGAAAAATCACTTACAGACAATTTATTAGGAAAACAAGGCAATACAGGGAGACTAGGTTGTTTCCAAACATTTTCTAATTAAGTGAAGCGTTTGGTCTTTTGAAACATCTTTTCAAAAATTAAATTTTAGTGGGATCTGTCAGGTACTATAATTGGTTTCTTGACAGCAGTCTGAATATGAAATAATATAAAACCTGACTGCTTTTAGGTTACAGAAGAATGATATAGTAACATCTCTCTTTCATAATCAAATGTGTGGGATAGGGCACGGAAGACAACAAGCTCCATTTCCACAATAAATATAATAATAATAAATTGTCAAAAAAATCTAAACACAAGGCAAAGAGAACATATAATATGAAAGAATATATTGTAATTTTCACTGTGAAAAATTATCCCTTTTAAAATCTACTCAGCTTTCCTATCACTGAACATGAAAGAAAAGTATTGGAAAAACTCTACATTATCAGAGAAATAATCATACATTTATATGACATGACCTAAGTTTAAAAAAATGTTTGATTAAAGAGTTAATTTGTCTTTTTCTTAAAAATAAAATGTTCAGCTGGACTTGTGAGTGTTTACTCTGAAGTCATGTTAGTTAAAATTTCCATTAGAATAAAATGTATTAACTGCTTCTCATATATTAATAGTTCATTAATGTTATTTTTCTATTTTTTCAGACATTGATTTTTTTTTACTATGCACAATGTACTGTACTTGATCAAGTCCATACAGTACAACTGGTTCATAAACCTGTCCTCTCTCCCTCCCCCCATATAGATATATACATATAGTTTGTTTTTGCTTTGCTCATCCTTCAGGTGACAGAACAACGTCAAGATGGTAGTTTCTAATACCACTACACAGAGAGCCAAATAAAACTGATCCACTATACAGAGAGCTAAATAAAACTGATGTGGCTCAGCTATGAAGCAACACAAAAAAGCTGGCCAGGGATATAGCACTTATCAAGGTCACCTGTTTTGAAGGTCACCATTCCCATGTTAGTACTACTTCAAACTCGCATTCACTCAAAGCTAGAAACTTGAGACTTATACAAGTTAATAACTAATTCATCTAGAAATCAAGTACCTAACCAGGTCAAGTAGCACAATAGAGTGGAAAGGCAGCAGACTATGATCTGATGATCATAACCAGGCAGCCTGGTTTCATGCAAAGCCCAGACAAGATCTGAAATCAGATAAATCTTATCCCTAATCAGTCTGTAGTCCTCATTTTCCTCATCATAAAGTGAGAAAACAGTATCTTCCCATAAGATTGTTGTGAAGATTTAGTGAGATGAGTATTAAGTGAGATCATGTAAGTTACCCAGAACAAAGCAGGTACACAAATAAATGCTTCTCCCTCCACCTTCAAAAACAGCTGAGAATCAGGAAGACAAAAAGCTAATACCAAAACCCAACTCTAAAAAACCCAAGACAGATATGACAATGCCTATCCTTGAATATTCATAAACATTACTAACAGTTAAGATCTTCACCGAGAGGTTTTTACTATTTACTCAGATCACATGTAGCAAACCTTGGGCAGGGTACAAAAGTGAGGATTAAGGACAGACAAATTGCACCAAGTGGTAGAGACAAGATGAAAAACAAGAGCAGACAAATGGCCCCAAAAACATGATAGTCCAGTACCATTCAGTATATAGGGCAAACAGTCTTATATACTACAGTCTCCTGAGGACATTACTGTAAGGCAGTATCAGTATTATTATATTACTAATATATTTGATTATTGATTATATCAATATTGCTATTGCTATTGATATATATAATAGTAATACTGATATTGATGATTGATGATTTTGAGTCATAAGAAAAAGTTTTAAATTATACTGAAACTTCTCTGCTTAAGAAGGTGGTAATATGGGTAATTAATTTAATAGAAACTTAGGAAATGGTTAAACTTCAAAAAAACTATCAACTGTAAAAGTAAAGTTCAATCATCTGGAAAATTCATTATGTGGAAGGATTCATTTCCCTAAAGATGATAAAAACAGATGAAGTGTGGTCCAACTACACTTGAGAAGTACCTAATAGAAAACTATAAGGGGTCTTCTAATCAACACAGAAAAATAAAACACCTTTCCTCCCTCAGAACACTAACAGAACATATTCTGGAATTTAGAAATTTAACATTCATCTATCTTCAAAACTCATTTTGTTATACCAAATGAAACTAAATAATAGAGTAAATACTTGTTTAGACTAATATTATATTATTAATCTCAATTACTAGATTTTAAAAAATTATTTAATGATTGATTATGCCATAATTAATTCCATATATCTCAATCAGAAAAGCAATTGGTGATAATCTGCTTATGTTCTTAAGGTATTTTATGACTGTGTTACCTTAACACAATATGTTATAAGGGATACTTATACTTCATCCAGAATAAATGTTCTTTTCATTCTTCTGTACTAAATTCAATGAAATATTAAACTTATTTGAGATGACAAGGACTATAATTATAACAGCTCATTCTGCTTAAGACATCCATCTAACCTAGTCTGTTCAAGCATGTCAAATTAAGAAGACTGGGAAGCTCCTTTTGCTTAAAAGGAGCTACGACTTGAAAATTTCCAAATTTAGTTTCGCTGGATTAAAAATCAACATGAGAGAGCCAAAAATCTATGATTCCCAGTTGCACATGCCATTTCAAAATGTGTGCAACAGTTAAAGGCCTTTAATTATAACCTAAATTAATTGTTGAGACCAAGTTAGGAGGTAGAAAAGCATAGCTGTAAATAAATTGAGGACAAACTTTACGTCTTAATACGATTAAAAATAGTCACACAATTTCTGGAGAACGAAATTGCTCTAAAGTAAGTATTTGCTTAAACCAGGGCTTTTTAAGCTATATGGCAAGTCTTCGGGAGTTTCTGGATATATATGAACCCACAGAGAGGAACGTTAAAAATTACTAGGTAGCAAACACTCTATTATCCTTTCTGGAATGCAACTCTAAAAATTAATAACGAAGAAGCAAATCACTTTTTGCTTTCACTAAGAGTATGCTACAGGATAAATTATTAAACTAATCACGTATATTCCACAATTTGAAACTTAAAAAAAAAGTTTAAGTTTTTAAAAATACCTTAATTTCAAAATGACCACATTAAAGAACACTTGATATACATTTCAAATCTGATTCTACAATTTCTGCTGGCTTCATAAATTATTACAAGACAGTAAACTATTTTCCTCATCCTATATTTTAAAAAGCTGCAAATGATAAATCTGAAACAGTAATATCCTCATACTAACATAAGAAAGCAAGTGAGAGTCTCTTAAGGCTATTACTAATCAGCTGTATCTGACAGGGCACTTTAAGGAATTTGACACAAGACATAAATCACTGAATTATTACTCAAAAAGAACCCCAAGATCATGAGACGGCTTTTGGTCATCTAGCAGAAAGAGTACACAAGCTGAGAATTCAGTTACATTCATATAGATGAAAGTATTGCTGGATGCTTCACATTTGAAATTTATTTTATTATGCTGAGCTAGGAGGGATCAATTTTTATGGCTATTTGATTTTGGAGTATTTGTTTAAATCTTTGTACCCTATGAAGTATATCCTTTTAGAGTGATTGTGTTTACAAGAGTAATGATGGCTGAAATATTAAAACTTCTTATGGTTAAGAGCGTGGACTCAGGAGTCAGGCAATCTAAGTTCAAATCCCAGCTCCATTATTTGTAGTTGGGTGACTTTGACAAGTAAATTAATTTCAGTATGCCTCAGTTTCTTTATCTACAAAATCACCGTAACTGTACCTTTAGGTATTGCTGTGATGATTAAATAAATGCATACAAAGCACTCAGAAGAATGTTGGATAAAGTAAACCCTACTGAAGTGTTAGCTATTACTGTAAATCATGGTTGTGCCTTCTGTACAAAAATTACATATACACTTCACTGTATGTTAGAAGTTACGCGCTTCAGATTTCAAAAGCTGTTTTGTGTGTGACAGGGGAGGGCTAAAATTTTAACGGCAAGATAAAAATTACTATCATACTGATTTTCAGAGTTTGGTGATAATTATATTCAGCTATGTTTTCTTAATCACCTAATTGGTAAATCTTTCCCCCTCTCAGTACTAGGTGGCTCTAGGGCACAGTGATAGTATATTATGCGGTACTTGAATAAGACATGTATAGTTTAGCTGTGGGGAGGAGGCACACACACAACATAATGAATGAAACTGTAACGTACTGACGATAAATATACAGACATCATTTAGAATGTATCTCTTTGTCATTTAATGTATGTGTGTATTTATGTCTGTGGGAAAAGAGCAGGCAGGAATTAGCATAATTTATGGGGGATGCATTGGGAGAGACCACTCAAACAACTGGTAATGGGACGTAAGGCTGACCATGGAAACTGGGACAAAATTAGAAAACTCTGACATGAACAACTTAGTTTAAAAATCTATTTGGCAGGCAAAAGACAGTCATTGTAGTTTCTTGAACAAAGAAAATAAAGATCAGTTTAGATGTGTTATACAAAATAAACTGCAGGAGGGTTGAAACCAGGTTGGTAGCCCAATCATGACTCAGGACGGCGGGCAGCGTGGGGAAAGGCAACAGACCTAAGGATTAGACAGACAAGGTGAAGGGAAGGGAACACTCAAAATTTACAAATAAAGCAGACATCCTTGGTTTTCTTTCAATATCCTTTCCCTGTTCTTTCCTCCTCAAAGGACTCCAAAAATCTCTGGCATCCACTCTTTCCTGACATAGATCATGTGGCTTAGGGGAAAACTAACATCACACACAGCTTCAAGGTGAGCAAGACTGGTTTAAGGATAATCTAACTTGCCTTGCCAGGGATTGGTTCAGAAATAAGCAGGTGACCCTCTCCTGAACCTGTGAGAGGCCAATGAGATGAGAGATGTTAAGAACTTTTGGCAAAGTTCTTCCAAATTCTGGAAGGTCTTCCGGAAGTAACGTTTTCGCTTTCCTGTTGGATGTGATCAAAGTAGCATGTACCCCTTCCTGCTACTGGCAGGCAGCCTATGAGAGTGAGGGTAAACTCCTCAGTCTGCAACCACTATGAAGAGCAAGACTGAGAGACGGAGAGAAGCTAGCTAGCTGATGACGACATTGTTGAGATGCTGAAGTAAACAACCCTCATGGGGTTCAGTTATGTGAGCCAGTAAATTTCTTCCCTGTTTAGTCTCAGGCAGCATTTGTTATTTACATCTGAAAGCGTGCTAAGTAATACTGTTTCTGTGCATGGGCATGAAGAAAACTGCTGGTGACAGAAACAATAAAGCTGGGATGGGAATTTATTTGCAAAGTTGACAAGTTCAGCCTTGGGCACTGTAAGATGAAGTTGATAACGCTCGCTTTTCTAGACTTGTATCCATTAGAGCATACCTAAAGAACCAATGTTCTTATTGTCCAGCTAAGAAAAATGTCCTATTTATCTTGTAGAATTAGGGTGAAAAGTAGAAAAGTGAGAAGAGTTCTCATGGAATTTATCCTTGGTTCAGAGCCAGACTTAGTCTTCCATACTGAGCCCAGGTGCCTGTACTTAATTCCTCCAGTTCTGGATCCTTGTCTGCTGTTATCTCAAAAACTGGCTGCTCCATCTTTCTGTTCTCATGTCTTTGCAAGGTCCTTATGTGGCAACTGACACCTCCATTCATTTCCTGGAAGTCTTGATTTTCTGGTTTACGGACTGAACCACTCCATTAACAATATCAGAAATATCAAAAATGTGTTCCTTGACTATTAATCTGAGAATCTGACCCAGAACTATTTTTTCATTCTGGCTGCCAAACTCAACTAATCTTGTTGCTGCCATTTCTCATTACAATGAGCACACTGAGGTTTTGAAGAATTTGTAATTTCATATCACATTTCTGAACAAAGTGGGAAATGTTCATTTAAAAATATGATTAAGCTGGACATGAGATGGTGTGTGCCATAATCTCAGCTCCTCGGGAGGCTGAAGTGGGAAGATGGCTTGAGTCCAGGAGTTCAAGACTAGCCTGGGCAACACAGTGTGATCCCATCTCAAAGAATAAATTAATTTATTTTAAAAATATGATTATATTCTGGGGATCTAATAAAAACGCAAAATTAATGCCTACAATTTTGGTCTAATTGATATATTTTAATAATTATTTTTATAAACTTAAAATGCCTAGTTATATCATTAATCTACTTTCCAAATCTTAACATCTCCTTTAAACTGTAAAAAATATTTTAAATAGAAGTGCTTTATAAAGATATTAAAATTAATACTTTACTTATAATCACACATAATTTTAAATTTTACATTAAAATAACAAGGCCATTAAAACATTCATCAATTTTAAAAAATCAAAGTATAGAATACTAGATCATCTCTTTTCATGGTAGACAGCTGTTTGCTTAGATTACAGATACTTCCCAAAATATCCACTTAATGTCACAGTGACTGAGATTTTTTTACCTGATGTTCCAGCTTCATGGTTTTTTTCTTCAGGTTTGCCATTTGTCTTGAAAGCTCTTTTTTCATCCACCTCATCATCCCCCCACCATGACGGCTGCCCATATAATGGAGTACCACGGGGCATAGCAGAAATATCTGGAAAGAGGTGGGAAAAATCTGTCTAAAGCAGATGAAACAGAAAAGAATACACTTTCGCAGAATGCTAGAACTGCCTGCTTGATTAATTAAATTAAAAAGCAAAGTATAGTCTTGATAGCTAAAATGTACTCTATACTGAATTAACTCGGTATTTGTGGAAGATCTTATACAATGTTGGACATGACTAAATAAATAAGATTTCCACTGGGTGGTATCTAAGTAACACAACGTGCTACATATCTCAATAGCTTTTTGTTAAGGTGTTATGAGTTGTTTGCTATATAACTGAACTGCTTGTAACAAATGGCATTTTACTTGAATTTAGACAGAAAGTGACCTCAGAAGAACAAGTTTGTTGAAACTAGACAATAATCAACTAGGGAAGAACAAAACCAGTCTGATCAGAAATGGCTCATTAAGACTAAATGTAAAAGACAAAGCTAAAGTAAATTTTCACATGAGTAGCTATTTTCCAATTTTTTTCCAGCCCAAGGACACAAAAACTAGTTCTTAACAGAACTAACATTTTTTTGTTTGAGCAAATGTAGTAATGCCTATTCATTTAAAAACTTGTTTCTGTTTGAATGGGATTATTTATGTAAGGCATTTTATAACGTGCCTAGAATTGTAAATTATTATATGGTGATACAGCCACATTTGATTTAAAAAATTTTTCTTTTAATTCGTTTTCGTTGTTATGCTGCAGAAGAAAATGCAGACAAACATGAAATAATAAAAATATTATAAGGTAAACTACACAGTTAACCCTCTGAATCTGTAGGTTCTGCATCCATGGGTTCAATTAGCTGCAGATGAAAAATGTTTTGGGGGAAAAAATTCCACTACATTCCAAAATGCAAGACTTAAATTTGCCTTATGCCAAGTACTATTAAACAAATGAAGTGAGGTGTATGCATTGTATTAGGTATTATAAGTGATCTAGAGATGATTTAAAGTATACAGGAGGATGTGTTCAAGTTATGTGCAAATACTATGCCATTTTACATAAGGAACTTGAGCATCGTGAATTCTGGTATTCATGGGAGTCCTGAAACCAGTCCCCCACGGATACTGAAGGATGACCATATTTACTTCTCTTAAACATTTAAACATATTAAGCACACCTATATATAACTGCTATATATAATTATGTGTTTTATAATGTTTCCTAATGAAAGCACTGGTAGCATTAAAACACACTCTGAAATTATCACTATTATAAATTATTTTTATATGGACATAGCCAACTTTCTGAGAACAAAGCATGCAGTGTCTTCAAGATCAAGTATAAAGATGGTCTTTCGAGAGAGGCCAGCTTACCCATGGCTTTTTCCTCGGATTTCAGTGCTTCAGTAGTTTTGTGCTGCACTTCAGTAGCAGCGTCTGCTACCTTTGAATCTATGCTTTTGGCACTTGCAGATTTGGATAATTCTGATTCTGAAGATTTTTGGGACAACTGAAGCTGAATGGTAAACTTCTCATGCTATAAAACATTTAAAAATGGAAGTGAAACATCAAGAAGTAAAATCAACCATAGTGAAGAGTAGATTTGCAAAAGAAGTTAAGTAAAAACTGTTACCTTAAGAGCTTCTTCAGGGACCCTCATTTCTCCTTGTACTACAGTGAAAAGATTTGTATGTAAACGGGGCTAAGGAAGAATATAACCTCAAATTTCTGATAATTGAGCTAAAAATCGTCATCAAATGTAATTTAGAAATTGTTCTATTTCAACAGGTAACTACAGCAGAATTATTATATTTCCCCTGAATAGTTAAATATTAAAATATGGTCACCAATGTAAACATTTTCATTTTAAAATACTAAAAATCTTAAGATCCAGCAAGTTTTCTAATTTTAAGTAATGGTGGCCCTCAAGAAGCAAACAACTGGGTAATTTATCAGAGCACAGAGACATTTTCAATTTTCACTAACAATAATATGAGATAACTACAAAGAAAAAGTACATGCATCAAATTATATTGAGAGCTAATCACAAAAATGTAAGGAAATATCTCATCAATGATTAACCAACAGCAATTCCTAAAAGAATTTGATTACTCAAACTTCATAAGCATTGATAAAAATGAAGTTCATTTTGCAAGTGCAAAAGAAATGCTATAATTAGGGTCCTTACAGCAACCACAACCATGACTGTTCCCCATGAATTGCAATCAAGGTCGTATTACATTATCAAACAATGGATACTATACCAAGATGAGATTAGAACCAAGTGCTAGATACAATGAATGCCTTCATTATTAAACCAAAAAGAACACTGCCTCTGTATATTAAAAAGATCTATTCACTAAAGAGTAGAGGTCACATTTCCCACCATTACTTAACTCTGTAATGAGAGGACTTTTATAACCATGTACTAAATTCTATTCCTTACCAGTTCAGAGCACTCATGACTTCGAGGGTAGAAAGCTGTAACTATCATGACTACTTGGGGGAAAAAGATGACTTCCCAAGCATAAGGGAAGTAGGAAACTTGTGAGTATTTATTCTAGGTTTCTACTTGTTAAAATAATAAAAATTCAGAATTGTAAATATGAAGAGTTTTGGGAAATATTCTGTTCAATTCCATTAGTCCCTCCTGTTTCATAAATAAAGAACCTGGGTAATGGACGGACAGAAACCAAAACAAGAGTCTAGTCAACTGAATCCCAGGCCAGGGCTCTCCTATTAATCTACATTGCTTTTTCCTATAGCTTTGAAATATTAAAATTTTCCTTTTTGTCACATTCATACACTGGTATATATTTGCTGGTACATATGGAAATACACATCTCATAACTAAGTATATTTAATAAAAGATAATGTCTAAATTGCAAACATATGGAATCAATCTAAATGCCCATCAACTGATAAGTGGTTTAAGAAAATGTGGTATATATACACCATGGAATACTACTCAGCCATAAAAAAGAATGAAATAGTGTCTTTTGCAGCAACTTGTATGGAACTGAAGGCTATTACTCTAAGTAAAGTAACTCAGGAATCAAAAACCCAAATACCACATGTCCTCACTTCCAAGTGGGACCTAAGCTATGGGTACACAAAGGCATACAGAGTGGTATAATGAACACTGGATAATCAGAAGTGGGGAAGCCGGAAGGCGGGGTGAGGGATGAAAAACTACCTATTGAGGTACAGTGTATACTACTCAGGTGGTGGGTACACTAAAATCCCAGACTTCACCCTTGCACAATTCATCCATGTATCCAAAAAATCACTTGTATCCCTAAAGCTATTGAAATTTCTTTAAAAAGACAAAAAATGTGATTAAGCTATTATAAGAAAAAACCTAGAATTTAATAAGTATACATACATTCGCATATTTATATAATATGAATTATATAAACACATATATATAATATAGAAAAACACTAGGGCATGACTACTGCAGATATTATTGAAGTTTTTCATTCTTTTCTGAAAATTGCTTTCTATCTGATGTGGTTACAGATGTGAGTTCCCTGAAGCAATATTATGGTAAAAACTTTGCTTTAAATATAATAATAATACTGTCTAGTAACTTTGTTTTATCCGCAAAAAACTCATAAACAGCTAGAGAAAATTCATAGCATTCCTACTTTTTCTATGAAAAAAGGCATTAAAAATGGACAGTCATTACCATTTTTTCCATGGAAAACACAAGTGATTTCAGCCTGTTGTGAGGGTTTTCGGGTGCTTCAAGCTTACCTCCTGGGAGTGCCTGAAGGCAACTTCCCAGGGCTCGTCTGGGGTATCCTCTTTAAACCTAGACACTCTTCAGGTCATGGAGAGCTTGAGAGGAGCCATCCTTCTCAGGTTCAAACATTTTACCTTCCAAAAATGTTTGTGTGTGTGGAAACGAAGAAGACCTCAAGAAGCCTCTTGTTTGGGTCATTAATTCATCTGGGAACTCTGGTGTAACTGTGAGATCTGGAGACTGCTCTAGCCCCAGCTTTTCCCTCCAAGGCTACCATCTTCTTAGTGGTGCAGGCCTATGTAGCTATTTTTAACTTGCTAATCAAGAAAAATGACAAACAGAGGTAGAATAACGCATGATATCAGTAAGTTATAAAAAGTTTGAATTCTTGCTTATTAAAAAATCATAATTTGACAGGTTATTTCTCCACTTCTTTATATAAAACTATGATTGCTATTCTAAGCCATCCCCCTGTACTGACCTAAGTCAATTTATTCAAGAAATGTTTATCTAAAAGTAGGACTGTGGAAACTCCCCTGAATACTAGTAATGTGTTCTTAGATACGGTTCCTCCCACTCTTTTATTTTAATGACAAAATAAAAAACAGAGCGAAACTTTAAACAGCGTTAGTTATTCCAAGGGGTATGACCTAAAATATGAAGTGTCAGATATCACTGTAAACATATCTTTCAAAAATCATGTCAGATAATTAAGAAAACCTGAATAAAATTATTTCATACAAGGAAAGATCAGAAAAACATATTTTTCAAAATTAATATATTTCATACATGTGATTTAAAAAAACATATAATAAGGCTATCCCTAGAAATTCTTAAGGTTACCCAAAAATGTTTCCTTTTCATTACAAATATGGAAATTTTCCCTCATTTAACAACAATTGATAATAAAACATACAATTATGATAAATTAGAGTCCACAGAGAATTAGTAAGGTAGGTCCTAGGAGACAATAAGGGTTTAAAAGAAAGTTAACAGCAGGAAACTTTCTAAGGGGAAAATTTTATCTATCTGCTTAATTTTGCCTATACCTTCAAAAAAAGGTATCATTTTATTTTAGGAGATGATTATCTTTCCAACTTGTAGAAGATCCTGTTCTTTAAAAACATAGTTTTCAAACAACTGATTTAAACTTCTCTATCACTTCATTTTTTCATCCAAAAAAGCTCATTTCCATTAATTTTTAAAATTTAGTTCTTTTAAGCTTTGAGAAATGTCCTCTATTTTTGAAATTTGAAAAATATTAATATGCTCATGTTTTGTTATGGATATCAACCACATAGATAAGGAAAAATCTTAACTTCTCTGAATGAAAGTTCTTAATTTTTGCTTACATTTAACTTCCCCTTGATCATTCAGCAGCCGTTATCTTGACAGCCTACCAAACAGTGGTATATATAGTGCTGGAAGTACAGATTAATTATAGTTTTAGATGCTATGATATGATGTATTGGAGTTTTCTTTAACCTGGTTTCTAATATGACTAACCCAATCATTTTGTGGGCCATTATGCAGGAATATACAACTTCTTTGGGAAAATACATAAATCACAATTTTAAAATAGAAGGTACTGGGTTCTTACTTATGATGACTTACATGATTAAAATGATTGGCGGGTGGATCTTGTGATTCAAGATATTTAAGTAATGTGTAAATAATTTCCCACAAAATGTGGAAACCATACTATACTCTGCTTTTCCTCCTAGCACATTAGTGGTTTCTCCTTAGTCTCTTTTACTGGTTCCTAATCTCACCCATCTCTTAATATTGGAATGTACCAGGTGTCAGTCCTTGAACCTCTTATCAATCTATATTCATTCCCTTAATGATCTCATTCAGTCTTATGGTTTTAAATATTATTTATATAATAAAAATCCCCACATTCATATCTTTAGCTTCTACTTCACCCCTGGATTCAACTTTACATTCAACATGCCCCAAATCAACTTCTCAATCTTCTGGATAAGATGGAGTAAAAAGAATTGGATTTATTCTCCTACATTAAACAACTAAAAGATGGGTAAAACACATGATACAATGTTTTACAAGACAATTGGCATCAGGCAACAAAAGACAATGATCTCCCAGAGAAGGGCAACAAAGCAAGAGTCCAATCACTGCCCCAACTCACTGCCCTGTGAAAGTTTCTAGGTCACACTGTGAGGAAGAATAATCCAGACAGAGCCTGGCAGACTCCCTGAGTTGTGATGGAAATGAAGTCAAGAGTCCAAGCAAATCAACATTACTGGAATTCCCAGGACTGAGTACTGAAGACAAGCCTGCACAGAAAGAGAATTCCAGAGATTTTCAGTCTCTGGAAAATATTAGAGATAATAGTACCCAGTGCCCACACATAGGGCCAGGAATAGTACCTACTCTCAACAGCTAGACTGTAAAACCTCATGCATGATTCATGAGTCACTGGGTAGAGCACAAGTCAGCAAACTTTTTCTGTAAAGGGCCAGATAGTAAATCTTTCAGGTTTTTCAGGCCACGTGATCTCTGCTTCAGCTACTCAACTCTGCAGCGGTAGAGCAAAAGTGGCCACAGAAATATGTTAATAGATTGGGCATAGCGATGTTCCAACAAAACAGCCTGAGGACCAGATTTGGTCAATGAGTTTACTGACCCCCCACAGTAGAACATACAGAAAGGTCTTGCCTCAGTAGTTGGGAATAATTAGCCCAGAACAATCTTAGAAGCCTAACAAATCTTAAAGGAAAGACTCAAAGTGATAAAACTGTTTCCAAGTAACTTGTATTCCAGAAGAATGCTCAAAAATACTTATATAAATACTAAAATATGCATAACACTCAGCAAAGTAAAATTCACAATGCCTGCCATCTAATAAAAAATTACTATGAGTGTAAAAATTAATCAATGGAAATCAACCCAGAAGAGATAAACAAATTTTAAAATAAATAATGGAGATTTTTTCCAAATTGGATTGAAACTATAAAGCCACAGGATTTTAGAAGGTCAACAAACCCCAAGGGAGGAACAAAAAAACAACAAACAAAAAGAAAGAAGAAGAAAGAAGGAAGAAAAAAGAAAGAAGAAAGAAGGAAGAAAAAAGAAAGAAGAAGAAAGCTACACCAAGACACATCATAATCAAACAGTTCAAAGCCAGGGACAAAGGAAAATAATGTGAGAATACAGTGGAGCAACATCTTTAAAGTGCTAAAAATAAGAAAAAGCCAATTTCGAATTCTATCCCCAGCAACAGTAACTTTTTTTCTTTTTTGAGATGGAGTCTCTCTTTTGCCCAGGCTGGAGTGCAGAGGTACGATCTTGGCTCATTGCAACCTCCGCCTTCTGGGTTCAAGAGATTCTCCTGCCTCAGCATCCGGAGTAGCTGGGATTACAGGTGTGTGCCACCACGCCCAGCTAATTTTTGTATTTTTAATAGAGACAGGGTTTCCCCATGTTTGCGAGGCTGATCTCAAACTCCCAACTTCATGATCCGCTTGCCTTCAGCCTCCCAAAGTGCTGGGATTATAGGCGTGGGCCACCATGCCCGGCCAATATTATCTTTCAATAACTAAGATGAAATACTTTTCTAGACATATAAAAGCTGACAGAATTCATCACCAGCAAAGCCATAGTACAAGAAATGTTGAAGGAAGTCCATCAGGTAGAAACAAACTGACATTATGTGAAAATATGGATCTGTACAAAGGGATGAAGAATACCAGAAATGGAAGGTTCGTGGGTTTCAGACATAAGTACAATGGGTATAAAAATATGTATTTTAAAATATGTATTTTAAGATTTTAAAAATTATTTAAACCTCTTTAAATGACAATTGACTTTTTACTAATAACAATGTAGTATGGGGTTTGTGACACACATAAAAATAAAATACATGACATCATAGCACAAAGGTCAAGACGAAAGTATACTGTTGTAATGTTCTTGTACAATATGTAAAGTGGTATAATGTTACTTGAAGATAAAACTTGAAATTAAAGACAAATTATAAGTCCTAAAGGTACCACTAAAACAACAACAAAAAATTACGGCAAATAAGCCAACAAAGGAGATAAAATGAAATAATAAAAACTATTCAGATAACTCAAATGAAATCAGAAACAGGGAAAGAGAAAACATAAAACTAATGGGTCAAACAGGACACAAATTTCAAGATGATAGATTTAAAACTAACCACATCAATTATCACAATAAATGTGAATGGCCTACATCACCAAATAAAAGTAAAAATTATCGTATCAGATAAAAAAGTAAGAACAACTATATGCTGCCTACTTTACAGGTAAAGACAAACAGGGTAAAAATTAAAAATATAAGTAGACAACAGAAAGCTGGAACAACTATAATATTAAGACAAACTAGATTTCAGAGCAAAGAATCTTATTATGGATAAAGCAGGTCATTGCATAATGATAGAGGGGGATAATTCATCAAGATAGCATAATAATCCAGGTTGTCTATGCAACTAATAAAAGAGCTGCAAATGACAAAGCAAAAAGTTCTGCAAGGAGGAGGGGGCGAACCCATAATTATAGCCTGAGATTTCAATACCCCTTTCTTAATAATTGAAAGAGTAAGAAGACAATAAATCAGTAAAATACAGCAGACCTGAACACCCACCAAGCCAACCTGGCCTAACTAACATTTATAGAACATTCCAACCCCCAAATAGCAGAACGCATATCCTTTTTAGGTACATATGGAACATTTACCAAGATAGAACATATTCTGGGCCACAGAACAAGTCTCAATAAATTGAAAAGGATTTGAGACATACAAAGTATGTTCTCTGAGCAAAATGGAATTAGAAATCAGTAACAGAAATATATCTGGAAAACTCCCCAAATATCTGGAAACTAAACAAACTTATAATCTGTGACTCAAAGAAGAAAATAAAAAAGGAAATTAGAAACATTAAAGTAGTAATTGGGGGAAAATTTATAGCTCTAAACACCAGTATTAGAAAAGAAAGGTCTCAACTGAATGACCTCAGCTCCTACCTAGAAAAAAGTTTAGAATAAAGGTAACAGAAATCAAATAGAAAACAGAAAAATGTGAAAACTTGGTTAAGTCTAAAGCTAGTATTTTGAGATGATTCTTCCCATTTTCTCCACAAAACTTGCTCTACCTACAGAATTCTCTATCAGTTATTAAAAGGATGCCTTCCTTTTTCATATTGCTCAGGCCTAAATTCTGGTTCATCCTTGACTCTTTCTCTTACTCTACATCCAGTCTAATCAGAAAACTTTATTGGCTACATCTTCAAAATATACACAGAATCCTTTCATTTCTACTTCCAGATATATCACCCTGGTCCAAACCTCCTTTACCGTTCACCTGAACTACTGCAATAGCCTCCTAACTGGTCTCTCTTTTCATACCCCTGCCCACTCCACCCTTAGTTTTCTTTGAACAAGAGTAGCCAGAGGATCTTTTTAGATGTATGTCATTTATCACTCCGATTAAAAAAAAACAAAAACAAAAACGCCTCCAAAGACTACCCATTTCACTCAGAATAAAAGTCAAAATCCTTATAATGTCCTACGAGAACTGATATATTCTGACTCCTAATATACTCATGTTCTTTGCTGGCTCCAACCACACTGGCTTTTAAATGCTATTCCTCCAATATGTCAAACATGTCTCTGCTTCAAGTCCTTTGTACTATACCCTCATCTGTCTGCAGGACAATATCTCCATATATCCATATGGCTAACTTCTTTACTTTCTCCACATCTTTGCCCCAGTGCTGGCTTCTCATTGAGGTCTTCGTGAATATTCTTTTTAAAACTCTAACTTCCCACTTACCAACACTAGCTCTCTGCCTCCCACTTTCACTTTTTTCCATAGAACTTACCATCCTCTAATACCCTCACTTCTAGTGTGTGCTGTCAGTCCCTTCAACCCCACTAAAGTGTAGGCTACAGGAGAACAGTGATTATGATCTATTTTATTCACAGTTATATTTCCCAAACCACTGGGACTATGCCTGGCACATAGGAGACATTTAATAAATAATTAGGAAATGAATAAACTTTTCCTTATCAGCCTCATTTTTGGCTACCTGAAGATTTATTACCACTTTTTGAAGTTTTTCTTGATTACTGCAGCATTTTAGTACTCCTTATGAGTTTACGGTCATTTTAAAAGCTTGTATATTTCACTGAGTATGTGCTTTTCCAAATCACTTATTTCTCCAGTTACAAAAAAGACTTATGTTGCCTAATTCTAGTCTTGATCCATGTTAAATTGCTCCTTCTATTGATGTAGCATTTTATTTTATTTCATTTATTTATTTATTTTAGACGGAGTCTTGCTCTGTCACCCAGGCTGGAGTGCAGTGGCACGATCTTGGCTCACTGCAACCTCCGCCTCCCAGGTTCAAACAATTCTCCCTGCCTCAGCCTCCTGAGTAGCTGGGATTACATGTACCTGCCACCATGCCAGGCTAGTTTTTGTATTTTTTGGTAGAGATGAGATTTCGCCATGTTGGCCAGGCTGGTCTTGAACTCCTGACCTCAACTGATCTGCCCACTTTGGCCTCCCAAAGTGCTGGGATTACAGGTGTGAGCCACTGCGCCCAGCCTGCTGTAGCTTTTTAATCAAAATAGTTTTCCTCTCCAAAGTATAGCAGTTTATAGACTGCCTATTAAGATTAATTTTAATTAGAATAAAGTACAAAAATGTCTTCAATCTAGCATAGCTAAATACAGAAACAAGTAAATATATAAAACCTGCTTTTAAAATTACGTATATAATATAATTTCTGCCACTATAACAGATGGTTTTTTTTTTTTGAGACGGAGTCTGGCTCTGTTGCCCAGGCTGGAGTACAGTGGCACGATCTCGGCTCACTGCAAGCTCCGCCTCCCGGGTTCACACCATTCTCCTACTGAGGTGGGAGGTAGGAGCCTCCTGAGTTGCTGGGAGTACAGGCGCCCGCCACCATGCCTGGCTAATTTTTTTGTATTTTTAGTAGAGATGGGGTTTCACTGTGTTAGCCAGGATGGTCTCAATCTCCTGACCTCATGATCCGCCTGCCTCAGCCTCCCCACGTGCTGGGATTACAGGCATGAGCCACCGTGGCTGGCTAACAGATGCTATTTTAAAATAATAAAATTATATGTGCCTCCTCTGGGCATCCAGACAGTAGTTATGGCTCAACACTAAGTGCACAACTCTGAGAAAGTCTTTGGGACAAAACATCCGTCCCAACAATTTTAGACAGACATATTATGAGCTGGTACGTAAGAGAAAAATGTCTGTTTGCTGTTAAGAAAATAGTATACTATTGTGTAAAAGCATGAGGTTTTTTTCTCAATAGTTTCTTCTTGATATAAAATTCAAAGTTAACTTGACAGAGTTTTACTAAAACTTAAATTTCCTAGTATTTTTCTCATGATTTGAAACAGTTGATGCCAAATGGATTAAAGGAGGTATCTAAATTCAAAATATACTTGTATTTGTTCTTGATGAAACTTAGGCTGGTAGAAAATGACACCCATTCATTAAGGCTTTAATGCTAATTCTTAATTATTTTGCATGAAGCATTTTTTTTAAAGACTTAAAATATATACAAGTATTACTATTTAATGGTTTGGCTTTTTGTATATTCCTTTGGCTCTGCAAGTGTGAACATTATAAAGTATGCTACAAAACTTTAATTTTAGATTTAAAATTTAAAAAATTGTAATATTATTTTTCGTAATTTTTTTTTTTTTTTTTTTTTTTTTGAGATGGAGTCTCTCTCTGTTGCCAGGCTACAGTGCAGTAGTGTGATCTTGGCTCACTGCAACCTCTGCCTCCTGGGTTCAAGCGATTCTCCTGCCTCAGCCTCTGGAGTAGCTGGGATTACAGATGCGTGCCACCATGACTGGTTATTTAAAACATTTTTTTGTATTTTTAGTAGAGACGGGGTTTCACCACATTGGTCAGGCTGGTCTCGAACTCCTGACCTCGTGACCTGCCCACCTCAGCCTCCCGAAGTGCTGGGATTACAGGTGTGAGCCACAGCACCTGGACTATTTCTCGTAAATGTCAAGGAACAATTTTATAGTGTTAATACATTTACTTTAAGCATCTACTCTATTTAGCTGAGACTATGCTTTTTCTGCTACGGTGACAAAAGTCCATCCAAATTGCTATGCTTAATACATTCTTTATTACCAAAGTCCCAATAAAAGTAGTAATTCAAAAAAACTAAAACTCAAAAAAAAAAAAAACAACCTTCAGCATTATGTGGAATAGCTGTATTTTAATTAAATGTACATAAATCCTTTTTACAAAGCTTCTTGCCTACTATGAATGGAAATGTCTTTCTTCTTCTGCAATCATGCTCCTTCCCTTCACTAGAGATTCTTCACGCTGCCCCATGCAGTTTAATACAGTCATGTCCTTGTTCAATTATTAGATTCCTAATTTTAAACATAAGAATTTTAAATACACACTAAATGCATAATGTGGATTAATCAGAGAGCGTAGGTCTTAGAAGACACAGGATATTGAAAAGTTTGAATTTAATAGGCAATATAGCTGTGATGCATAAAACAGTTAACGGGAGGGATGGAAGGAAAAGTAGGTTTAAATTCTTACATTCATCCCAGGAGGCTGATTCATGCATCATGTTCCACCTGAAAGCAATCCCTAGGCTGGACTAAAATTAAACATTCCCCTGTCCTCTCCCCAGTTACATTCTTTGATGCTCAAATTATATATGCAATAGCACTTCAGTGAGACTGATGCTGAAACTACATAAATAGAGAGAGAGAGGGAAAAAAAAAGCTGAGTCCACCAACTTTTCCATGATTACTTTTAGGAACAGGCATAATAACTAAAAATATATATGTATTTTAGTATAGGAATGCACCCAATAAATAGAAATTCTGGCATATCTATATTGTGAATTGTGTTTTAAAAATGTTAACTTAAACCAGAGTAAACATATTTGAATAAATTTAATAAGTACATAAAACCATTTAAGGATATCATATCCAAATCTCAGCTTATCTTCAAGTTTCAAGGTGATATAAGTCTGTTCCGGAATCCTTACATCATTCACAAAAGTCTACAAGGAAACAAAAAAAGATGTTAGGTTACGTATGAGGTATTAATTCTTACATTTCAGATAAGCAAATTCTCAAATCTGAGAGTTAAAAGCACATATCATACGGTGGCTAATACAGCCTGAGTATCATAAGATGTGCCATGCAGCCTGTAGGCTGATAAATGATTTTATACTAAGCCTTTTATCTCTCTTACTGGTAACACACAAAGAACCCAGTGCTGCCAAGATGAATTTAGGCACTTAGAATAGTTCCTAAAAATGGTGCCAAGAAAAGCTCCTAATCTAAAGCTGGCAAACCGCAAAGGGTAAAATATTTAACTGTTAATATACCATCAGGGTTTGCTCAACCCAATTTTAGCTTTTTGAGAAATTCTGTCTATGTGTAAGCATTGACATTTCATTACTTTTATTTTTGGAATTATTATAAAGAAGAAGAAGAAAATTTACTTTAAGAAAATAGAATAAAACTCAATTTATTTTGCAGTTGTCATATGGGTCCTTTGGATCCCTTTAGGAATCACATACATTATAAGGTTTCAGTGATCTTATTTTTCTGATATGTTGAAATTCTGCCATTTTATCATCCTAGCAACTATTTAATATTTACTCATCAATTATTCCAAACAACGCTAAAAGTGATCCAAATAATAAGACAAAAGAATAACAGAAGCAATAACCAACAAAAAAATATTGTAAGCCACATTTACTATTATATTTTCTTTCTTCTCTCTCTCTCTCTTTCTTTCAGGGTCGCGGTGGTGCGATCATGGTGCACTGCAGCCTTGATTTCCTGGGCTCAGGTGATTTTCCTACCTCAGCCTCCTGAGTAGCTGGACTACAGGTGCATGCTACCATGCCCAGCTAATTTTTGTGTATTTTTTGTAGAGACAAGGTCTCCCTATGTTGCCCAGGCTGATCGCAAACTCCTGGGCTCAAATGATATGCCCACTTTGGCCTCCCAAAATCCTGGGATTATAGGTGTGAGCCACCATGCCTGGCCAAATTATATTTTCTAGTGGGCACATAAAAAAGGAAACAAGATAGAGGTGAGATTAGTTTTAATATTATACATTTCACCTGATATATCCAAAATAGTACCGTTTCAGTAAAGTACCAATATAAAAACTAACAAGGTATTTCATATTCTTTTTTTTTTCTTTTTTTGGTACTATGTCTTTAAAATTTAGACTACTCCACATTTCAAGGGCTCAACAGGCACACATGGTTAGTGGCTACTGTAGTGAAAAGCACAGACCTACGAGCATGATGCAATAGTGAAATAAATCACTATTTCATCATTCTTTAGTTATCTTACTGCAGTGGCCAAAATATTCCTCATCTTTCCAAGAAGGTATAAAAGACATCTGGAGATAAAATCTTTATACATTTTGGGGTTTCTTTTTTCACCTATTAAAGAGCACAGTTGAAAATCCAGAATTTCTGATTTAACATTCATAAAGGCAAAGAGAAGAAAACAGGAAGATATTTCATAATTATAAGATAAATACAAGAGACAGTGGGATTCTACACTATGATAATGTTGATAAAGCTGATAGCATAAGCAAAATTATCAGACTCTGTGTCTTCAAATGAAGACAGTCATAGACACATTTTCTCTAATGCAAGAATCAATGAGAAAGAATGTGTCCATGAAAAAAAAAGAAATTTTCATCTAGTTAGTCATTCAGTAAGAATCACGTAGTATTTTTCAAAAAGAATCTGAATGATTTTGGGTTTTGTGGGGGTTTTGTTTTTGGGGTTCTGAGACAGGGTCTCGCTCTGTCACCCAAGATGGAGTGCAGTGGCATGGACCACATCTCATTCTGAAGCCTCGACCTCCCAGGCTCAGGTGATTCTCCCACCTCAGCCTCCTCAGTAGCTGGGACTAGAGGCTTGTGCCACCACACCCTGCTAATTTTTAAATTTTTTGTAGATGGGGTCTCACTATGTCACCCAGGCTGGTCTTGAATTCCTGGCCTCAAGCAATCCTCCTGCATTGGCCTCCCAAAGTGCTGGGATTACAGGTGTAAGCCACCATCGCCAGCCTCATTTTAAAAGAAGTGTCATATTTTAAAAGAAATATTGACAGCCTTCTTTTTTCACATCTGTGTTCCAATACTTATTTGATATAGTATGTAAGTGGACATATTCTCAACACAAGTATCTATACAAAGGTGACTGGAAGAGATGATGTAGACATAAAATTATTGGATTGAGCTTCTAATTGTTGTTTATAAATCTAAAAATAATAAGTGTTTTGCACTTTATGGAGGAAAAAAGATGGCTATCCTATTAACAAAATTATAAGCTGTAAAGTTTTTTTTTTTTTTTTTTTTTTGAGATGGAGTCTTGCTCTTGTTGCCCAGGCTGGAGTGTAATGGCGTGATCTCAGCTCACTACAACTTCTGCCTCCCAGGTTCAAGCGATTCTCCTGCCTCAGCCTCTCAAGTAGCTGGGATTACAGGCACCTGCCGCCACGCCTGGCTAATTTTTGTATTTTTAGTAGCGATGGGGTTTCACCAGGTTAGCCAAGCTGGTCTTGAACTCCTGACCTTAGGTGATTCACCTGCCTCAGCCTCCCAAAGGGCTAAGATTACAGGGGTGAGCTACTGCGCCCAGCCAAAATTTTTAAAACACTGTGTTTTGACCATGCAAGAACAAGAAGCACCAGAAATAATACACTAGAATTAACTAAAGACATACAGTACTTGAGATCTGGAATCAACATTTATAAGATGGATATATGTTCCAGGTGAATACATGTCAACTGATGAGCAGTTAGTTGCATTCAAACAACACTGCCCATTTTGGGTAGTATATACCTTTAAACACCAGGAAAATATGGAATAAAAATTTGAGTTTGTCATGTCTAATTTTTTATTAAAATTTCAAGTTGTTTTAATTACCCTTTTATTTTTACTTTTGTAAATTATTTGTACAATATTTTTTTTAAAAAAGGGTCCACTGGATTATTGCCGGAAGTCAGTGACCCTGAATGGAGGGACCAGCTGAAGCCATGGCAGAAGAACATAAATTGTGAAGATTTCATGGACATTTATTAGTTCCCCAAATTAATACTTTTATAATTTCTTATGCCTGTCTTTACTGAAATCTCTGAACATAAATTGTGAAGATTTCATGGACATTTTATCACTTCCCCAGTCAATACTCTTGTGATTTCCTATGCCTGTCTTTAATCTCTTAATCCCGTCATCTTCGTAAGCTGAGGATGTATGTCGCCTCAGGACCCTGTGATGATTGTGTTAACTGCACAAATTGTTTAAACAATATGAAATCTGGGCACCTTGAAAAAAGAACAGGATAACAGCGATGTTCAGGGAACAAGGGAGATAACCATTAGGTCTGGCTGCCTGAGAGCCAGGCAGAACAGAGCCATATTTCTCTTCTTTCAAAAGCGAATAGGAGAAATATCGCTGAATTCCTTTTCTCAGCAAGGAACAGCCCTGAGAAAGAGAATGCGTTCCTAGTGGGAGGTCTCTGAAATGGCCACTCTGGGAATGTCTGTCTTTTACGGTTGGAGATAAGGGATGAAATAAGCCCCAGTCTCCCGTAGCACTCCCAGGCTTATTAGGACGAGGAAATTCCCACCTAATAAATTTTGGTCAGACTGGTTGTCTGCTCTCAAACCCTGTCTCCTGATAAGATGTTATCAATGACAATGCGTGCCCAGTGGGACATGATACTTCATTAGCATTTTTAATTTCACCTGGGTCCTGTGATCTCGCCCTGCCTCCATTTGCCTTGTGATATTTTATTACCTTGTGAAGCATGTCATCTCTGTGACCCACACCCTATTCATACACTCCCTCCCCTTCTGAAGATCACTAATAAAAACTTGCTGGTTTTGCAGCTTGCGGGGCATCACGGAACCTGCTGACGTGATGTCTCCCCTGGATACCCAGCTTTAAAATTTCTCTCTTTTGTACTCTTTCCCTTTATTTCTCAGACCAGCTGACACTTAGGGAAATACAAAAGAACCTATGTGAAATAACGTTGAATTATCGGGGGTAGGTTCCCCTGATACTAGATACAGATGGTAAATGGTGATGACTATCTTTACTGGCATACTGAGAGTTAAGGGCCTAGAATTTGCTAAATTTATAGAACACAGAACAAAGGTTATGGTTAACTGCCTATGCAGACATCAAATAAACACCCAACAAGTTTTTCTTTGATAAACTGAAATTTAAAAAATTACTTTATTCTTTCCTTTTTTAAATTTTATTATTATTATACTTTAAGTTTTAGGGTACATGTGCACAATGTGCAGGTTAGTTACATATGTATACATGTGCCATGCTGGTGTGCTGCACCCATTAACTCGTCATTTAGCATTAGGTATATCTCCTAATGCTATCCCTGCCCCCCTCCCCCCGACCCCACAACAGGCCCCAGAGTGTGATGTTCCCCTTCCTGTGTCCATGTGTTCTCATTGTTCAATTCCAACCTATAAGTGAGAACATCTGGTGTTTGGTTTTTTGCTTTTATCATCTTCTATTTTATTAGATTTGAGATGGCCATGATAGCTTATTTGAGAAGACTGCCCTTCCATGATGAGGTAGTTACAGTAAAATACTTAAAGGGATTAGGTTATTAAACTCTCATATTTCTATGCATAAATAGCTCTTTGTAATATGCCATAAAATAAGTTTTAAGTCTACAAAAGAAATCAGAAAAAGTTACAATCTTAGTTTCAAGCATATATATAGAGATAGGGGAATACCATTAAGACTCTAGATTATATCCTAGAATGATTTATGAGTAATCCTAAATCACAAGCTTCCAACATGTTTTAAAGAAAGGTTGAAATTGTAATACAAAGAAAATTCAAAGGCTTCAGAGACTTATAAACTCTAACTTCAGGTTCATTTCCAAAATGAAGACTTCAGTGTTTTAAAACTTATGTCTTGAGTTTACTAAAGTATTCGGAGGATACAGTCATGCATTGCTTAACAATGGGGCAACATTCTGAGAAACACATCACTAAGCGATTTACTTCACTGTATGAACATTATAGAGTTTACAGTACTTACACAAACCTAGATAGTATAGCCTACTACACACCCAGGCTGTATTGTATATCCTATTGCTCCTAGGCTACAAATCTATACAGCCTGTTACTATACTGAATATTGTATGCAATTGTAACACAGATAGGAATTCTTCAGCTCCATTATAATCTTATGGTACCACTGCCGTGTATGTGGTCTGCCGTTATGGGATGCATGACTCTAATTACAAAACAGAAGAACTGAGGAAAATGATGCAAAAGAATGAAAGAAAATGTTAATTTACTAATGTCTGGTAGGCAAAAGATAACTAGATACAGTATTGAAGAGGAGTGCTACAGTTCTGAAATTCTGAGCCAATTTTATTTGAAACTTGTCTCTAATAACCTAAAACACCACATTTACTCAAAAGGCCTGTGATGACCTAGAAGATCCATTTAAGTTTAAGATTGCATAACTCTCTTAAATATTAAGCACCTGTTGTGTGTTGAACATGTGTACTAGGCACTTTCAGAGATCGAGAAACATATAATTTTAACATGCTGCCATTTATGACAGAACTATTCCCTAAAGTCTAAAAAGGCTTAGGAAATATGAGCCAGACACAAAATTTCAGTTCACAAAAAATGCAAGTGAAAACATCTGTGAGGAAATAGTCTCCTGAAGGTCTAAAATTACCAATGGGAAAGAGAAAATTTCAAAGAGCCAGAGGAAAAATCATTTAACTAGATCAAATTTTAATAACTTAGATACGGGAAAAAAAATGAGTTTTGTTTCTTTGTCAGTGCCATTTCAACACACCAGGTAGAGACCTGGTGGTGAGGAAAATGAGGCAAAGAGAATGAAGTAATCATCAAGATCTTGGAGTCCAGAAGTGGCAATGTTGGGATTCGAAATCAGGTCTCTGAACTACAAATCCTATGAGCGTTCCACATCAAGATTAGGTGCCCAAGCTAAACCAGCTCCCGAAATTCCTCCATTCAAACCACTAACCCCACAGAAGCAAACCAAACTTAAATAAATACCTATTTAATTTACATACAACTACATGACACAATTGATAGTATAAAATCATATAGCCAGCATACATTGTATTGATGATCTGGGAAAGTGAACAGAGCACAACCACCTCAATCTCTCTGCCAGCTACAAAAGCCTCCTCTCCTTCCCTAACCTTTCCTTTCAACCTTTAGTGAAGACCATTCTCTACTCTATACCACACAGGTCTGATGCTGGCAGGAACTCTAGTGTGCAAAGGGGACACAGTGTGTCTGGAACACAGACTGCTGATGGGGGCAGTCCAGTAACAAATGGCAGGCTTGCAATGGCACAGGAGGGGTAGGGCAGAGGCCATGGTGGCTACCAGAGGGGCAAGGGCCCCAGTGGAGGAGGCAGGGGGAACTGAAGGCAAACAGGGGTTCCCAAAGAAAGAGAACCTTCAATGGGTTTGCAGGAAAATGGCCCGTTAAAATATCAGCAACGGAACCGACTGTAGCTTTCTCAGGCAGAACAACCTCATTTCTGGTGGCAATTCTGTAAATTGTAGATCTAGGTCCCTTGGGAGTGTATTCTGGGCTAGGGTGAAAGGGGACAGGAGTGGAAATGATCACTTTTAAGTTGAATTTAGTTGGTAAGTGATTTTTCTAAACAGTAACAGTGAATTCTTTGAAAAGTATATAGGCTACAGGTTGCTAAACTTGTCTTTGCTGCTTTTCTTACCATAATAAAAATAACTTACATTTACTGAATGCTTACTATGTACTGTTGTTTAAAATTATTAGCTTATTTATATCTTTACAACACATACAACACGCTCACACAACCTGTGAGTACCATTTTATTATTTCTATTTTTTAAAAAATTGAGGAATAGAGAACTTAGGTAATTTGTCCAAGGTGACATCAAAGCTGGGTTCATAACCACTACACTGTGTCCTCCTACCTCCAAAAGTACTACTTTTAACCTGATACTTAAAGTTCTAGAATAATATGGATAATAAGAGTAAATAGGCTGCGAATAATAGTCTACAAGTTCTCTTATGACTAAAATGCATGATAGTTGGTAGTTCATAGACTTTTGACATTTTTTGGCTGCTAAAGACCTTTGTGGCATGTTTCTTAGGCTGTCATTTGGGTAACAGTATATTTATCATTTATGTAATGCTTTAAAGTTCTATACTAAGCGCACACTCAAATGTACTGTTACATTTAATCCTCATAACAATACTACAGAGCAGGAATTATTTCATCATTTAATAGCTGAAGCAAGATTCTGCATTGCATCTTTGCTTTCATAAACTTCAACTCATTACATGTTTACACACTTTGGAAGGTAGTATATATGAGGAAACTGAATTTCAGAGAGATTAAGTGATTTGTCCCAGGTTACACTGCTGATAAATAACAGATCTGAGTTTCAAATCCTGGTCCTGATTTCAAGCTTAAAATGCAGATGTCGCTCTCCATGAGTTAGTATCTTTCACAATATTATTGAGTATAATCAAATTATAAGAAAGGCCAACCTAGAAAAATGTCATGTTTCACCTGATTATTTTTGGAACCAATACCAAGTAATTTCCATATTTGAGCATAGGCTTTTAAAAGACTAAAATGCTGATGTAATTCCCGCTGCTTATTTTCCAAAATAACAATGTAAAGACATACAGACTACCACTGTTCATCTGTTGTCAAGATGAAACTTTCTAGACTTAAAGACAATATAACATTGTCAAAATGTTCCACATATAGAAGTTAAAATTTTTCACTATAAATTCTTCAAGTAGAAAATTAATTCAATTCCACTAAAGAAAGATTTACTGGGTTCATGCACTGTGCAGAGCCCTCTGCTAGGCACTGTGGTCACAGAAGCAGAAGGCACATGAACTTATTCAGGAGCTCATAAGTCAGCATAGCTACAGAGGTATAAAAGTAGATTTAATACCAGGCTGATCAAGGACACAAAGGCTTATGTGTGGAGAAGGAAGAGAGAAATTCTAGCAAAGAGGAGTTGAGAATCAAAATTGCTAACATTCATGCCTAATGTTACAACAGTTTCTACCTACTTTGCCTATCTCTGCTAATTTTAATCCTTTCAACATGTCAACATCAGCAGGTTAAAATTCCTAAGTAAACGGGCCTTTGTTTCATCTCTTCAAAAAGAAGTAGAATTTGAGCTTTATTTTAAAAAATGTGTAAAACTTTTATAAATGGCAAGGCAGATGGGAGAAAGAGTAGACTGAAGAAAATCTAACAAATTATTTGAAGAAAGACATAGCATAGCAGGAAGACTACTGTTTGGAAGAAGAGCAAGGGAAAATGTAATGATGGAGCATCAATCTGGAAAGGTGGATAATGCTAAATGTGAGAGTTTTCAGGGCAAACATGAAGAACATACACTTAATTCTACATGCTTTGAGAAAAAAAAATGCTTGAATAAAACCAACAGAGAAAAAAAAAGGCTTGAATAAAACCAACAGGAAAACATGCCTACAAAAAATTTGTATTTATCTCAAAGAATAAATATAAAAGTCCTTCAGTAGCAGGCCAATTCAGAATTGGTTAAAAAAAATGTATTACCATATTTGCCAAATTTCTGCATGTTCTTGTACATAATGTTTGATGTACATTTGAAAAGCATGAATAGTCTGAAGCAGTTGGGATGCACTTATTTCTGTTAAATTCATTTTAAGAATTTCAGCAGCACAGATAGGAACAACACAGTATTTGCTTGTGTTAGCAGAACCATAAGCAAATGAAGAAACTGAAATAAAAGAAATAATTCAATACTTCAGCACTCTTTTTAGTTTGTAGCTACTTATATTATGCCAAATGTAGACAGACCAAATGAAGAAATAAGAAAAAATTCACTTCAGTAACACAAAAATATATTCAAAGTATGAATTCCAAGAATAATGAACAATGGCGGTTAGATAATGTGCTATATTTGTGAAGGCAAATGGTTGTGTTGTTTCACCTTTTTTACCCTAGCAGAGAAAGTTGTCTACTCTCTGGCACCTTTCCATCTTTCTTTTCTTTTCTTTTTTTTGAGACGCAGTCTTGCTTGTTCTGTCGCCCAGGCTGGAGTGCAGTGGCGCTGTCTCGGCTCACAACAAGCTCCGCCTCCCGGGTTCACGCCATTCTCCTGCCTCAGACTACCGAGTAGCTGGGACTACAGGAGCCCGCCACCACACCCGGCTAATTTTTTGCATGTTTAGTAGAGAGGGGGTTCACCGTGTTAGCCAGGATGGTCTGGATCTCCTGACCTCGTGATCCGCCCGCCTCGGCCTCCCAAAGGGCTGGGATGACAGGCGTGAGCCACCGCGCCCGGCCCCAGCTCCATCTTTATTTTCTAAACTTAACCATTACTTCTCTGTCCCTGAGAGTACTTTTTTGCATTCTCACTGCCATGACTTTTTACCGTTTTCCCTCATATAAATTACAGCCATATAGTGAAGTCAAGCTTAGGTTCCAACTCCTTAAAGAAGTCTTCTTTAGCCATCACAGACAATGACAACCACCTTCTGGATTCATCTGCTTATAGTTTCTTTGGAATATGGGCTAGTTTCATATTCTATTGGATGGTCCCCAAAGTGCTATGTACCTGATAAGCATTTGAAAATAACATACAAAGTAAAGAAAAAGAAAATGTAGCTAGGAAATGTAATCTGATTTTTATTCTTACAATATTAAACAAATGTTCAAACAAGACAAAAAATAAACCATTGACTTACCCCATTGAGGCTGCCCAAATCCTTCACTAAATGCTCATCCGTAGACGCATCATAGTTGATGACAGCGTGTTGCTTATCCACACTACGAGACTGAAAGGAATGTTGTCAGTTAATAAATATAAGAAAATACTAGAATAAATACCAGTCACATTTTGGCTAGATACCTAATATTAATAGGACAGTAAATATAGGGAAATATCAAAGTAAGTGTGGATTAAATGAGATTAAAACGGTGCCACTATACAACAAAATCTTTTTAGCATCACTGCCCAAAGAGGAAAACATAAAATTTTAAAGATATTCTTTTCTACTAAATTCACATGTTCTATTAAGAATTTACATCAGCTGACTTCGCTGAATGTATTAACTTAATTTTTTTAAATTTAAAACTGTTATAGAGAAATCATGTGAATTATAATTTTACCATGTTTTACATATCTTATTGTAAAAAACATTTACCTTGTAGGATTTTCTTCTTTCAAAACAAAAAATGAGCATAAACTATTCAAAGAGTCCAAAGATTTAGAGGAAAAGGGACACAATATGACATGTTTCAGAACAAAATTATCTTCATTTAAAATATGGGCTCTAAAACTGGAATTCACGGGACAGCTCTAAGAGGGAAAGGGACTGAAAGTCAAAAGAAAGGTATTTTAATGGCAAACTGTGGTTTTTGAAAATTGCTTTTAAGTTTCTTTTAAAGTTTTCTCTCTCTCTGTCTCTCTCCAGAGCTTAGTAAGTTGTCTGCAGATGGAAGCACCCAAAAGCAGAACGATAAGCCTGTGGAAATTGGTATTGAAAGGAAATATCATTATAGTCACAGAAGAAACAGTCTGTGAACCAGTGAATCTGAACTTGATCACCATGTATTACGGGGTTACTGTGTGAACCCTGGTATACTAAAAGCAAAGAGAGTATCAAAAATGGGGAACAGACATGACTTCCAATTTTTGGTCCAACATGGAAAGAATCTGAAGTCATCGCTCCCATCTTCATAATAAGAAAAATGTTGAACAAACTGAAAACCAAAAACTCATCTTAGTTTTTCAGAGACCTGAGGTCACAAGGCAAATTACCACCCTGAAAAGTAGAGAGACAAGCAAATACAGAGAGAATCACAGCTTGCCAGGAGCAGAAGCCTCCGCTAGAAACAGCAACCAGTAGGACAACTTAAAGGTGAAGTGATTAATTGCTAGAGACTTGAGGGTGGACCAACTTGAGATTTAAAAAAACTCCTGCATTAAATCTAAAAATTGCTTAAAATTCATTTTTGTTTTCATTACTTTGAATTTTTATTCATCTGGTTAAACTAATGAAATACTAAATTCAGTTCTTAAGTTGGCAAGAAGCAACAACGCACCACTCAGCAAAATAATTTCACCATATTGTTGATGTATCAAGTTGATCTAGTCTAAGGATAAAACCTCCAAATGTTGTTAAGAGAAGTGAGATTTCAAGTACATGTAGGCTCTCAATAAATACTGAATGGATCCTCATAAATAATCTCTCTCTGAGGAAAAGAGTACATAGGAAAAGGGCAGAAATCCTTTGGACAATGGACTGAAATTCAAAGAAAAAAATCTAAATTAGAGTTGAGAAAAGGCAAATTCCAAAGCAAAGTGAAATGTTACCATTAGATATAGGACTAAAGGAGTCAAATGGCTACTCATGGAGCCAGAGAATGGTGGCTTTCGAAGGAGTGTGATAAACACAGATGAGGGATATTGAGAAAAAGTGATTTGGGGAGGAAGTAATTTAGGACAGGCTGCTTCACTAAGTGAACAACTTGTTTGAAATCTGGAATATCCTTAATCTACAATGTACCCCGCCCTCCAACTGCTTATGGTGAACACTGACGGTACATAAACACCTACAGCAAAAGACAGAGCACACTTAAGACCTAAGAGAACAACAGAGTCCACTGAGTCGAGTGAGATGCCATTACAACTCTGGGGATTAGGGAGTGAGGAGTGGGCCTGTTATGTGGGATCACAAGAATACATCGTTTGTTTGTTTAATAAAGACAGTAACAATTCAAGAAGAGTAGTCAGGAACTCAAGGCAAAGAAGATCAGTTTAGTACTCACAGAATAAGACAATCCCATTTGTGTAACTATTTTTTTAAAAAAGCAGCCAATGAAAAAAAAATTCCTATGTTTTTAGTTATTATGAAATGTATATAAAGTATCAATGTGTTTCAGCACCCATGACAGGAATTAAGCAGAAGACCAAGATTACAGAACATAATACATCTAGTGACCGAGTCAAGGAAAACTGAGGGAATAGGAAGAATATGTAATGGATATCTAACCACTTAAGCATTAAACTGTTTTCATTTCTATATAATCAAATTCACATTTCCTCTAGATTAAACTGAACCAGAAGGTGCATGACAACTTGATATTCACAACCCATTTGGATATTTCAATGAAAATTTAATAAAAATCTCTCAGAAATACATAATTTAAATCCTAACAAAGACTGCTAACTTAATCACGTTTCTGATACTAATGGGAAAACCTTAGCTGATCTGAGCTTAAAACTGCAAAGATAGGCAATTTTGACCAGGCCCTTTTTTTCCTGTTACTTAAACTTCTGGTAAGAATGAAAGACTCCAGTCCCTGTCCTTTTATAGCAAGGGTGTCCAATCTTTCGGCTTCCCCGGGCCACACTGGAAGAAGAATTGTCTTGGGTCACACATAAAATACACTAACAACAGCTGATGAACTAAAAAAAAAAAAAATTGCAAAAAAAACACCTCATGATATTTTAAGCAAGTTTATGAATTTGTGCTGGGCCGCATTCAAAGCCGTCCTGGGCCTCAGGTTGGATGAACTTGTTTTATAGTGTTTTCCCTGTAAGAATCTATGCCTCCTCCATCTGATTCTTACCCCTATAGAGACCCTCTTCCTGAGGCTGTGCACTCTTGAGGATCCATTTTACTTGGAGTAACTTACAGTAACTTTTATACTATCTGTGTGTATCACATAACATCACGTTGTATACCTTAAATATACACAATAAAATTTACTTTTAAAAATTGTCAACAATCTTCACTTATGCTTGAACTCCTGGCAGGTATCATAATGAACATCTCTAAAAGTGATGAAACTAACTTCCATTATCACTGAAGTATCAGTGATCAAAATTCAGTTTTACTCCATGCTATGCTGATTTTTGCAATGTCTTATTTTAAAAGCATATAATGTGAAACTTTCTGCTTACTAATAAACTTCTTTATTCTGAGAATTTATTTTTCTAAATTGAATCTTCAAGACTTAGAACTTTTTTTAGATGATTCAAGGGGGCAAAAAATTAATTAGAATGATAGCTGGAGCTAAAAGGAGAGAAAGTTCAAATCTAAATAGCACTGTTTTCTAAAGGAGTAGAAAAAGATTTTACACTAATTTCAAGTTTTGAATAAACACATATAGAGAAGCTTGACACAATTACCTGCAACATGAGCTCACAGTCATCTCTTCCAACAAAAATCATTTCTCGTGGCAGCCTGTGGCGAGTGCCTCCACTGCTCACCAAAAACCAGGATGTTAAGCTCATTTTCTGCTTAGCTTCTAAGTCTTTGGCAAAGCTACGTCATCCTGAAGAGAAACATGAAGAAAAATATACGTTCAGATATTTTTAGCTTTAGTGGCTATTCACCAAACACTGGAAGGCCTAAGAATAGAACTGCGTTCATCAACATTTATACTTAATTAAATGAACTGTCCACAGGTCCCAGGAAATGACATATATACTAAATTCTCATCAGTGAAGTAAGCCCACGGAATCCACTAAGAGTCCAGTTAAAAAGGAAGAGACTAAGGCAGTAAGTGGGTGCTCAACTAGCAAACTTTTATAGTTTTCATACTTCTGAAAGCCTTTTAGCACAGTTTATAAAGGTCTATAATCCTCAAGTAAATGCTCATGTTAGCATCATGTTAGTATTAGAAAAATAGCAATACTGTACCAATAAATGTCTTAGGTACAAATGGTTTGAGAAAGACACAATGAATTCAGTAAGTATATATGATACCTGATTAAGAACTATGTTGACCAAATAAATTGCTCTTTTGTCTATCAGGTGTAAACCACAGAATGCAATTTCAATTTCTTTTTCCTCACATGTACTTTATTGTCTTAATACGTTTTCCTAGAACAGCAATTCTGAAACATTCTGTTCTTGGGACCCTTTTATACTCTTTAAAAAATGAACTCCAAAGAGCATTTGTTTACATGGGCAATACATATCTATCTATCTATCTATATATATACACGTATATATATCTAGATATATATACACACGTATATATATCTATCTCTAGATATATATATCTAGATATATATATCTATATCTAGATATAAATATATCTATATATATACACGTATATATATGTATATACGTGTGTATATATGTGTATATATATGTACATGTCTATCTCTCTATAGATATATATATATCTAGATATATATATCTAGATATATATATATCTATAGAGAGATAGACATGTACATATATATACACATATATGTATGTATATATATAGTTTACATATTAAAATGAAACTGGTATTTATTAAGATAACATTAACCCAATTTCATTTAAAAATTACTAACATTTCTATAACAAAGTAACCATATTTTCCAAAACAAAAATAAGTGAGAAGAGTAGCACTATTTTACATTTTGCAAATCTCTTTAATGTCTACCTTAAAAAAATAAAACTGGTATCAGCTTTGAATTTAATCCATTGCCATATACTGCTTAACTTGAACTATATAAAGAAAACCTGGCTTCATACACATAAACAGGTGGAAAAGGGAGAGGTAATTTAATAGGCTTTTCAAATAATTGTAATTATTTTGTAATTTCTTTGATACTACATAAAAATTATATAAGCAGTAATTTCTTGAAGGTTTTTTGCAATATGGAATCTGAAACCATATTAATGAACTTTTCACACAATGTTATAGGAAAATCCATCTTATGGCTAGGCACAGTGGCTCACGCCGGTAATCCCAGCACTTTGGGAGGCCGAGGCGGGCAGATCACCTGAGGTCAGGAGCTCAAGACCAGTCTGACCAACACGGAGAAACCCCGACTCTACTAAAAATACAAAATTAGCTGGGCATGGTGGTGTGCACCTGTAATCCCAGCTACTCGGGAGGGTGAGGCACGGGAATCACTTGAACCCGGGAGGCAGAAGTTGCAGTTAGCTGAGATCACGCCACTGCACTTCATCCTGGGCAACAGGAGTGAAACTCCGTCTCAAAAAAACAAAAAAAGAAAATCCATCTTATATTTTGATGGGATTTTGTAACACCACGTATTGGTCCTTGGGAAAATATTGATTTCCTGAGTAATGAAGATCTTCCAAATGTTGACGTGTTTCATTATACTATTTTAAAACATCACACTCGTTAATATTACCACCTATCTTACCATAAAAGTCTTTTAAGTACAGGGAAGCTGTTAAGCTCATGATGGCAGAATCAAGTTTTCTAAAATTCTAACTTCCTCTTGACAGCTCAAATATTATCATTGGTCAAAAAAAAAAAATCCTGTCACTTAAATTCCTTGAAGTGACAAGCTCACGTTGTCTGTCAAACACCCAAGTGTATATAACCAAAATGTGTCTCTCAGTCATTTGTTTAAAGTAAAGTGGTATTTTATTAAATCAAGAGTCTAGTTCTGCAGACAACTCACATAAGGACACAATTTCTCCTTCAGAAAACCACAGCACTTTGGTATACAGCATAAGTGCTCTATGCATACTTCTATTTAGTCACATAGAATATTCAAAAGATGTGATTCAAGGGTCAGATTTAATACAATTAATAACTTTTACCATTTCATCGAGAACATTCTTAAGTGAAACTGGCTTAAAAAACAAACAAACAAACTCAGGAGTATACAGCAATGATGAATACAATTACTCCTTGGAGAATTTGGTGCCACTACTTTGATCTATGCTAAAGAGCCAAAAACTTCCATTGTTTTTGTAATGTCAGGGCAAATGTCAATACAATAAAAAAGGCAAATAATGCTTTGATGTCATTACGAAAAAGGTTTTGACCCTGTGGACCCTTGTAAGGTTTACCGAAGGCCTTTGGACTGAGAGCTTTGAGAATAGTTATCCTAGAGAATGGGGCTTGGTCATTAAGGGAATAAGCCCTGGAGTCATATAGACAGATGTGAGTCTGAATCCTGGTTCCACCACTTTTTATTCTGCATGACCTTAGGCTAGCTATTTATCCCATGTCCCTTAGTTTCTTCTTCAGTAAAATAAGAATAATGTCAGTTTGCACTCAAGTTCTTTCTTATGAATCAAAAGAATAATACTTGTAAATATTTTCCCATTCAACTGTATATTCTACTACACTTGAATTAGAGGCAAACTATACTACAGTAAAATGAAATATTCTGCAATAAGAAATATATCTCTATATATTAAACCAAAATCCTGTAAAATGCAGAACTTTATGTTAAGGTAAAATCTTGAATATCATATGTTATCTATACACACATGAAAAAACAATGGGTTTCATCAAAGCAAGTAAATAATTTTCTGTAAAGCTACAACAATCAACTCGTACTCCCTCCTCAGCTTATTTGATATAGTTGATTTATGTGGATTATTAAATCTCCCATTTACTCAACTTCTTAATGCAGATGTTGTTGGTCTTCCATCTGTCTACTTTGTCAATTTGGTTTTTAGCATTTCTTTCCCTGGTTCAGAATATATACTTCCTGGCCAAGTCTATAAAGGTGAATCCAAATTTTACTGGAGAAAAAAGCCCTCCGATCTAAATATAGTATATAATTTGCATACTGTATTTTCAGGGGACGATTTTAAAACACAACATGAATAAACAGGTCAACAGTTACACGTTTACTCAAGGGAACTGAAACAAAACCCAATATTAAGACATGTTAAAAGAAAATAAATCCAGCCTACATACAGTAAACTAAAACATGACAGCCAAATACGGATAACAGAAACAGTTTCTTAATATAGCAAAGTCCCAGAGTTAATAAGCATTATTCATATGCTCTAATATGTACAATATAAACATACAATAATTATACAGTTGGATAAAATAAAATAAAAACAATGGCTTTTTACATATTTCATCTTGACTTTAATAAGACTTAAAAGAATACATAGTTTCTGAAAAATACAAACAAAACACATTAATACTCAAGATGTGGAATATTTATTTCTTGAGCTGGGGAATGACCCTGAGTCCACTTACAGCTTCTCTGCTGAGTGGGAATGTGATATAACAGGAAGCTACTGTCTGTTTTTATATGAGACTTTCTCCCTGTCAGACAGCTTTCCGACTGGTCCCTCAGTATTAAGACACTCTTTTTCTACTAATTGGATATTACTAACACCCACACATGGATAAAACTAAAACCTGATTGGTGGTTTCTTCAGTAGCCAAGGCACGTGACTCAACTCAGGTTCCGCTAAATGGTGGGAAAGGAGCCTGTGGGTTTGCAACTTGTACAGAACACAACCAAGGTCTTAACCAGATGT
Organism: Homo sapiens; assembly: GCF_000001405.40. Lineage (NCBI taxonomy): Eukaryota > Metazoa > Chordata > Mammalia > Primates > Hominidae > Homo > Homo sapiens. Next base: position 241,371 of record NT_187519.1, read on the forward strand.
GATAGCAGGTATATTTCTTTCCAGAATTTCTGGATTAGTCAAATAGACATGGGTTTTTGAATAGGCTTTCTGAATTAAATTACCAGTCCCTCATGCTTTCTAAATGACTGCAAAAATATATACATTACGTTTCGGCATTTCAGGTATCCTGCTTGTAAGGAGGGAAAAAAAAGGCCAAGAAGATAGCATCTAAAGATGCAATTGACAGAAATGATCTGAAGTGACTATTTTGGAACTCTGGCGTATGGTAAAAGAGGGTGACAAATGTCATGGAATTGCCATCTTTCATGGTAGCAGCTATCACTCATTCCACAGCCACAATCCCAACAGCTCCAAGAAGCAGCCTGGAGACAGCCTCCTGCATTCCTAGTGTGGCTTCCTGGAGCCAGGGTACACAAAAAGGAACTAGTCTTCCAAATACTGGATTGCATGATCTCATTGTTGCTTTTGATTACTGAGAAACCAATACAAAAGCTGGCCACCTACTTCAATACCCACGGACCTAAGAAACTTCCAAGGAATTTATTATATAAAGACAATGTGTGTGTGTTTGTTTTTCTTTCTCCTTTTTGAGGCCAGATATTGAAAGCAATCTTTATCAGGTCAATAGCTGACCACAGAGGAAACAGAAGAAACTTCAGTGACCACATTATAACAAAAACTACACACCTTGCAAAAACAGTTTACAAAAGTCACAAACAGATCATCACTTTAACCCTCAACAAGTAAGATTCAGCAATCCCTGGAGAGTGGAAGGATTACATTTCCAGATCTACCACAACATAATGTTTAAAAGGTCTAGTTCTCACCGGGCATGGTAGCCCACATATGTAATCTCTCCACTTTGGGAGGTGGAGGCAGGAGGATTCCTTGAGCCCAGGAATTCAAGACCAGCCTGGGCAACATAATGAGACCTCATATCTATGAAAAATAAAAAAAAAAATAGCTGGGCATGGTGGCATCCAGGAGGTTGAAGCTGCAGTGAGCCATGATCATGCCCTGCACGTCAGTCTGGGCAACAGAGTGAAACACTGCCTCAAAACAAATGAATAAATAAAAATAAGATACAAAATACAGTTCTCAAAAACCAAAAAATAACATAATGAAAATAAAGAAACAACAAAAAAGATTTGACAGAAACTCTCCCGTTAAAGCCCATTGTAGTTATTAGTTGAAGGTGTTAAATCAACTATCTACTGTCTTAAATATGTTGAATGAGCTAAAGAAAACCATCAACAAAAAAATTAGCAAAACAGTGTATGAAAAAAATGAGAATATCAGTAGGAAGACAGAAATTATGAAACGGAACCAAACATATTCTGGAGCTAAAAAGCAGACTAACTGAAGTAAGAAAAACTCAATAGAGGGGCTCAAAAGCAGATATGAGGAGGAGTTAGAAAGGTTCAGTGAACCTGAAGATAAGAACAGTGAGGCTGTCTTATCTTCAATATGAGAAGCAGAAAAACAAATGAAGTAAAATGAACAGAGCCTGAGGCACCAGTAGGATATCATCAAACATACTAATATACACATATAGGTGTCCCAGAAGGAAATATGACAGAAAAGTATTTGAAGTCTTAATGGAAAAATACTTCCAAAATACATCAATACACACATCCTAGAAGCTCAATAAACTACCAGCAGATAAACTCAAAGAGCTCCACACAAGAAACATTACAGTCAAATTGTCAGAACCTAAAGAAATAGAAAGAATTTTGAAAACAGTGACAGAAGTGACTCTTCATGTACAATGGAGCCTCAGTAAGATAAACAGCAGATTTCTTCTCAGAAACTATGGAGACTAGAAAGCAGTGGGATAGCAGTGGGAAAGGAGAAGAAAAAAAAAAACTGTCAATCAAGAATTTTATACCCAGCAAAACTATCTTTCAAGCATCATCATCATCATCATCATCATCATCATCATCATCATTATTATTATTATTATCATCATTATTATTTTTTTTAAGCAAGCAGAAATTAAGATATTTCTAGTTAAACAATAGCTGACACAGTTTTTTTTTTTGTCAGTACAGTGCCCTACAAAAAATGTGAAAGACATTTGGGCTGCAATGAAAGGACACTAGACAGTAACTTAAAACTGTGAAAAAAATTTTTAAAACCACTGATAAAGGTATCTATAAAGCTAAATATAAATCCACTGTTTTCATACTTTTCATATGGTTTGTAACTTCTGTTTTTCCCATATGGTTTAATAAACAAGTTCATAAAGCAATAATTATAATATGTTACTGGAAAGTATAAAGGTGTAATTTGTGACAATTATAATATTACGGGGGAGGAATGGAGATGTGCACAAGCAAAGTATCTGTATACTCTTGAAACTAAATTGATATATTCAAACTAGGTTTATAAGTTTAAGATATTAATTGGAATCGCCAAGGTAACCACTAAGAAAATACATTAAAAATATACAGTGAAAGAAAGGGAAATCAAAATGATACACTACAAAAAAGTTCAATTTTTAAAAAGACAATAATAAAAGAATAAAAGAAAAAACACATACAGAAGACAAATACATCAATGACAGAATTAAAACCATCTTTATGCTGGGTGCGGTGGCTCATGCCTGTAATTCCAGCACTTCATTTAAAGTGATTAATAATACACCTAAAGCAAACCCCCAAATTCTTCCATTTTTCCACATCAGCAATCCTCACTGTCTTTTCTTCTTCTTCTTCTTCTTTTTTTTTCTTTTTGAGACAAGGTCTGGCTCTCTATTGCTCAGGCAGGAGTTCAGTGGCAAGATCTCAGCACACTGCAACCTCCACCTCCCAAGCTCAAGCTCCAGGCTCCCACCTCACCTTCTTGAGTAACGGGGACTACAGGTGTGCAGCACCACACCTGACTAATTTTTGTATTTTTTTAGAGATGGGGTTTTGCCATGTTTCCCAGGCTGGTCTTGAACTCATGAGTTCAAGCAATCCACCCGCTTCAGCCTCTCAAAGTGCTGAGATTACAGGTGTGAGCCCCCATGCCTGGCCTTCAGTGTCTCTTCTAATACTGTAGTACTTGTTCTTGAAAGCAGACTAGACATAATACAAAATTATATCAGTCTCTATCTTCTGTGCTTATCAATTTCAGCATTTAGGAAATCTCAAAGAGTATGAGAAAGTACAAAACTAACAGATTTGCTTTTTGGTAAGTTTATTCCCATTCCCCCAGGGCAGAGTTAGCCATACTTTTCTCTGTAGTCCCACAATATTTTGTTCAAACATTATGCTACAATTTAAAGTATCATTTTTAGTATTAATAATTCTATACTGTAACGATATGATTACACCTCAAGTTGATGAGCTCTTTGAAGGCAGCAAAACTGTCTTCCTCCATTCCTCCCTTCTTTCAACAGCTATTGAGAAGCCTGCGGAATCCAGACACTCTGAGGATCAAGGACACATAAAGATAAAACAAACAAAAATATCTTGCCTCAAGGAACTCACTACTGCAGGGAATGGTAGTAGATGCCATGACAGAGATAAACCTAGGGTGTTACTAGAACAACAGGAGGTTGTCATTACTCCAGACATGGATGGTGACGGTAGGGATGGTATCATTCTAAACCAGCACAGAGCTGAAATACAGAGACACTTTTTCATCTTTGTATCCCTTGAGCCTACCCCAATGTTTCATCTACAGTGAGCATTTGACAAGCTATTTTTCAATGAATGAGTAGCTTTGGAGCTGCTACAAGTCTTGAAGTGAGGATAACCTAGAAATTTCCAGGGGCAGGAGGTGAAATTAATCATCTAACCTTTGACAGCAATTCAATCTAGCCATTAAAAAATCCTAGTTATAGTCCTCTTCGGTTGTCTCTTTCTTATTCTTTATCTTTTTGTCACATAAAGCTGTTTTCACTAGCAATCTGAGAAAAGTTGAAAGCTCAGACACTTGGGTGTCAGATGGATGTGAACACTGGCCCAGCATCACAGTTCCATTTACATGGAACTATCATTACATTTACATTTAAAGCTATCATTAACTTTAAAAACTGACTTTCCTGCTAAATCAGAGTTCTTTTCATGATTTAATGGACTAAAATGTAAATATCTAAGTTTTACATTCTAAATAAACATGAAACAAAGAAAAACTCTGCAGCTATTGAGCAGAGCACACAGCTTCACTACACAGGTTTAAAATTACATACATTTTACTGCTTTTTAAAAATATTTCAGGCCAGGCGCGGTGGCTCACGCCTGTAATCCCAGCACTTTGGGAGGCCGAGGCGGGCAGATCACGAGGTCAGGAGATCAAGACCATCCTGGCTAACATGGTGAAACCCTGTCTCTATTAAAAATACAAAAAATTAGCCGATTGTGGTGGCAGGCGCCTGTAGTCCCAGCTAATTAGGAGGCTGAGGCAGGAGAATGGTGTGAACCCAGGAGGCGGAGCTTACAGTGAGCCAAGATCACGCCACTGTACTCCAGACTGGGCAACAGAGCAAGACTCCATCTCAAAAAAAAAATATATATATATATATATATATATATTTTAAAACGTTGTTCCTATTCACATATCATTCAAATCGAGGAATGATGGCAAGAGGGGTCTGAATGATGTTAATTACTATAATACTTAAGTTGAGACAGGCAATAATAAGTAAGTGCACTTGATATATGACAGTATAACAAGAGAACTACAAAATAGTGCACCATATCACCCATAAAAAGAAACTGGTTTACTCAGATTATTAAGCCTGAGAAAAAATCATTATTCTATAAATGATAGTCAGTGTATACAATTACTTGAGCTAAAACACATGTTAAGGGCAGTCTATCCTTATGGTCTGGCAATTGGCTGGCTGATTCATCACCAGATGGCTTTATAAAGATTAAACCTCCTCTCACCCCACAACTCCTGCTATTGCAGAGAAAGAAATAGCTGGCCTCACATTAGGACTATCGGTCTACACAGTAGAGAAAGAAATAGCTGGCCTCACATTAGGACTATCGTCTACACAGTAGGAAATGCTTTTCTCTAGCTTATGCATTTCTCATTTTAATAAGATATTATCTACTTAGGCATCCATGTGACAACTTTTCTTTTGGTACCAACAGGCATGAAAGGGTGACAATATTCTCCATGGGGTTGGCCCAGGACATAGCTTTGTTTCCTGAAAGAATAAATCGTAGGAGAAAGATGATCTGGTTTTCTTAATAAAATCAATGAAAATCTAAACAAAGGGGGGTTAAAAGTGATACACTTCACCTTACAAAATTGTAATCTGAACCAGCAGTAAAGCTTATCAACTGAAATAAACACACTAAGGCATTGCATCAACTGGCATCTGTAATTATGCCATGTCTTTTTACCCCATCATACCAAGTATCTAAAAGATACAATTTTAAACAAATGTATAAATTCAGGAATCCTATTTTACATTTTCACCCCTAAAAAGTCCCTAACAGAAAATATATCCTCAACACCAGAAGTCTGTCTTTTGATGCCACGTATTTCTGAAAATGAAGAAATAATTAGGGGTGGCATTTCAACTAAGGATTCATTATCAAATAAAGTCCAAACATACATCATAGTAACTCAGGATCAAGTAAAATGCAAATCATATATTATAAAAGCAAATGGTTTTATTCATAATTGGTAGCATTTATTGACTACTTAATATGAATCAGGCACTGTTCTAAGAATTTCACATATAGGTGTGTATATAGACATAATTGGTTTTAGCTACAAAAATTCTTCAAGTTCGAGAAAATGGACATAAACATTATATACTGTTACACATGAGGACCCCATTTTATAGAGTACTATAAAATAAAACCCAGTTTGTTTCTTCATTCACAAGTAGTAAGCACTATAAGATACTGGGGAAAGAGAATGGATCAAGATAGAAAAAGTTCCTAATCTCACAGCAGCAAAAATAAACAAATAGCTACATAAATGAATAAGAAAACCTCAGGGGCAGTGGGAAGAAAGAAACATGAAAAAACAAAGAGGACAGGATAACTCGGGTGGTGCTCTTCAGGCCGGGGTGGTCTACGGAAATATCTTTGAGAAACTGACATATGCTTAGAACATATTCAAAAATTCAGCTCTGCTGTATAATTAATTTGATCTGGCACACATAATGAAATATACTCTTGGAAAAAATTCATTTATTTAAAATCTCCACCCTTGTTTTATAGTTACTCCAAAAGGATAAATCCACAGCTGTGCTTTTTTTGGATACTTACCAAGATACTTGTTTCATGCTCATGTGAACAAACTCATTACTGGGAAAATTTCTGCTTTCATACACTCATGATTATTCTGGAATGACTACTCTAAATTTTACCTTTATCATCTGCCATATACATTATTAATTCTTTTGTGAAAGGCAATTAAAGCAAATAGGTTTAAAGAAAAAATATAAGCTGCAACTTAAATCTGATATAGCATTAAAACTAAAAAAAAAAAAAAATTCTCATAAAAATAAGTGAAGATGACATTCCAAATACCACACCACATATTCTATGTCTGAGTTTATTATATATTTTTAACAGAAGATTTAGATTTGATGGGAAAAGCTAGCAAGCCAGTGATTTAATTAAAGATTTCTTCATAAAAAACATTCAATAAAGTGCTTAAAGAAAATACCTAAGAAAAAACAAGTTATACTTTTCCATAAATTATCTAGGCATTAAAAATTCTTGCTAGGTTTTCCCTGTCAGTTTATGAAACACGTAAAGTCTGACTTGTTTGCTTTTGTAGAACTGTACTACCCTCATTAAAGCATAATTTTGTTGCTTTACACCAAAAAATCAATTGACTTAGATTCAGACATTTATCAAGTACCTCCTTTGTGCCAGTAACTGTGCTAATTGCTTCTATTAATACTTGCATTCTTTCATTTAACTCCCAAAACAAGCATTCAAGAAACATTTTTCCCTTAAGAAAACTAAAGTTAAAGCCTTATTCAAGGTTACAAATGCAGTATAAACAGGAACCACCTAGATTCAAATCTGGGCCTTCAGCTACCAAATATGGGGCTTTTCCCACAAATCACTATCTCCTTTGTATTTTTCTTAAATATACCTCGAAATGATGCAGGTGATTCTGCCAGTCTCGGATTTGGCTACAGTTGGAGTATGATGATATGCAATATATTTTAACTTAACAACGAGTTCTCTAACACTCTGTTTGGGCAATAAATGCTGACAGTTCATGTAAATTTCAGCCTATTTTCAATCTTCTCAGCCTCCTGTTTGGCCACCAGCAGGCTCCAAGATTCTCTCCTCGAGAAGTTCACAGACAAGAAAGAATCAATCAGTTATTAAAACCAAAAACCAAAAATCAGCTGGCCAAAAATCAGCGGATCAATCTAGAGAAACGAGGGAAATTTAGTAAACTGGGGTATAGCATGGATTAGAAACCTAGACTCTGAAAGAATAGTAAACTATCTCCAGGTTCACTAAATAACTATAAATCTAAAAAACTGTCAGATCATAGAGCACTAGGAGCAGGAAAAGCCACACAAAGCTGTCTGGAAGACCTGAAACTGTCTACAGGAGGGAGTGACAATGGGAGGAAAGCAGTCTGGGTTAAGGGTCTGTTACGATCCTGAAAGTCAAATGCTTTGATTCACTGTTCTTAGCTCACGCAGGACAACAATTTCTCTGCCATGTGTCTGCAATTAATTTTAGCATATCACTAATTCTTGTGCCCTTTAAAAATGGTTTCTGTTCATCTTCAATACCTTTTCTGATTCACTATACATTAACTATTTGGGAGGTGGGTACAAATCATTTCCATTGCATTATCAGTATAACATATGAAAAGTGAATTGAAACTTCAAAGTGTAGAAAACTGAAACGTCTCAGAGTCTATTTTAAGCAAGAATGTATTTAGTGAATATATCACTAACACACTTTACTGTATAACAGTAAGTTGCTAATTACTAGCCTAAATTATGCAGTTTTTCTTTTTATCTTCATGTTAAATTATAATTTTTATAAATATCTCTATACCAGCACTGTGCAACAGACTGTGATGATGGAAATATTCCTGTCCAATACATTAGCCACAAGCCATGTGTTAACTATTGAGCACTTGAAATACAGCTAATACAACTAAAAAGATGAATTTTAAATTTCATTTAATTTTAATTCATTTAAATTTACATATTCATATATGGCTAGTGGCACTCTAGCTAGTTCAGCTCTCAAACTAACAAATGACACTATTATTTACCTTAAGGATCGCTTTCGTTAAATACCTCATACTTATAGTATATAAACATGCAGAATAGCTGATAAAATAATGCATGCTGGAAAAGAAAATTTTAATCTAATCAAAAGAAAATAAAGTGCTTTGTATTTTAATTTAATTGAGATAGTATCACTATAGGCCAGGCATGGTGGCTCACGCCTGTAATCCCAGCACTTTGGGAGGCCGAGGAGGGTGGATCACCCTGAGGTCAGGAGTTCGAGACCAACCTGGCCAATATGGTGAAACCCCCGTCTCTACTAAAAATATAAAAAATTAGCTGGGCCTTGTGGCGGGTGCCTGTAATCCTAGCTACTGGGGGTGGTGAGGCAGGAGAATTGCTTGAGCCTGGCAGGTGGAGGTCGCAGTGGGCCAAGATCACACCACTGCACTCCAGCCTGGGCAACAGAACGAGACTCCATCTTAAAAAAGACAGCATCATTATGACTTTCATACAAAGTAGTAAATTATATAAACAATCGGGTCTATCTTTTGTCTAAAATTTTTAAATATTCATTGTATTGGCAAGACTGTTCTTTCATATACTGTAATTCTTAGGCTATGGATGTTTAAAGTGATTAGGTTTATCTTTACCAGAATGCCATGAGGTATGTAACAGTTCAATGGAATTGTTCTGTAGTTTGATTATTTCTGAGAAGGTGAAATACAAGAATTCTCTTAAGGGAGGGAATCGCTAGGCACAGCCAGCCTAAAGAACACTGAACACTGGGAGGCCGAGGTGGGACGATCACTTGAGCCGAGGAATTCAGGACCAACCTAGGCAACAAAGTGACACCCTGTCTCTACAAAAAAATAAAAAAAATAAATAAATTGCCAGGTGTGGTGACGTGCACCTGTGGTCCCAGCTACAAGGGAGGCTGAGATAGGAAGATCGCTTGGGCCCAGGAGGTCAAGGATGCAGTGAGCCAAGACTGTGCCATTGCACTCTAGCTGGGGCAACACAGTGAACTGCCCTGGAAAAAAAAAAAAGAATAGTGATATATTTCATTTAGAGAAGAGCTTCTGCAATTTTGAGGGTAAACAGAAGCTAACACAGATAAAAGATTATTGGTATTAATAGCCAACAAGTGGAAGTAACCCAAAACCTAATGGTAGATCATTTTTTAAAAGTATAATTTTCCTCATTATATTTGAATTTTCTTTTAGCAAATGTACTAGAGTGTATGGTATATATACATGTATTAAAGAAAAAATCAAATCATCTAATCAGAAAGTAATTTTATAACAGAACTCAGTCCACATATTAGTAGTAAATTTGAATTTCCAAAGTCAAAGTAATTTTTGGAATTTGAACTATGGTGCTAACGGTTCATGGTTGAAAATGTCCTCCTGTTAAATCTAATGATCTCTAGTATTGCTATCTTAAATTACCTCTCAATATCTTTGACCATTCTTGCCTTCTACAAGTATCAGTCTGCTTTCCTCTCACTTCTGTGGGCACGCCTCAATCTCTTTGAAAGTGTCTACTTTTTCTTTAAATTCTGTTTTTACGGGGTTACTTCCCTATACATAATCTCTTTGGGACTTCTTTGAAAACCCTGGGCTTCCAATATTGCTTATTATAATGTTACACATATAATTTCAAGTCAAAACCTTTTTTACAAGATCAGACCTTCCCTCTGCTTACGAGTCATTTCCAGTTCAAGGTCCTCCTGGACTCCTCAGATTTAATTTTTAAAAAACAGAAAGAACCCTTTCATCTAACGAAATGTGCCTTTTTTCCTGTTCTCCCCGTCTTAGCGAATGGCATCACCAACTGACCAGATATTTTCTCTCCCACTCCCGCTTTAGTTAGGTAAGTCATTATGTCCCTTTGATTCCACATCCTAAATATCTTTCTTTGTGCCTTTCCTCTTATCCCACTGGTTCTTACCAATAAATTACTGCAGAACTCTTTTACCTGAATCCCTTGTCTCTAGCCTCCCACTCTCCAAATCCTTCCTCTATCCAGCTATCAAAATTACATTTATAAAAGTAAATGTAATAATTTCACTCCCTAATTTTCAATAGCTCCCTATAGAGTTCAAGATAGAATTCAAACTCTTCAGTTTTGAGTAAAAAGCCCTGTTATCTCCCCATGTTACTCTGCTCCTCCCTTGTATTCCATGTCCAACTGAATTTGAAAATGAAAGCTCTATGCTGTCCCAAGACCTTTCATAGTGAGCTTTCTCCAGCAATCACTTCCCCCAGAAAAACACCCATAGAATTCCCAGCCTCTCAATTCTGACCACCTATCTTGCCCTTCACATATACCTACAGCAACTCCTAAACTTCTTTGTACAAAATATATTCATTTTTGTCTATTTTCCCTTATAAACTGAGTTGCTTGAGTAAAGTGGCTATTACTTAGTAATCCTGGTATCTCTTGTACCTTGTATGGATGCCTGAAACTTTAGTAAATGTTCAGCAAATATTAATAGGTAATAGTGGCACAATATAAACTTTTCTGGTGAAGTTTTATCAATAGGCCAATAGCCATACTAGAAATCTGACATAAAATTCACTGGGAATTTTCTGATTACTTGGTAATATGAATACAATCTGGCCGGGCTGTAATCCCAGCACTTCGGGAGGCTGAGGAGGGTGGATCACCTGAAGTCAGAAGTTTGAGACCAGTCTGGCCAACATGGTGAAACCCTGTTTCTACTACAAATACGAAATTAACTGGGCATGGTGGCACATGCCTGTAATCCCAGCTACTCAGGAGGCTGAGGTAGGAGAATTGCTTGAACCTGGGAGGTGGAGGTTGCAGTGAGCTGAGATCACGCCATTGCACTCCAGCCTGGGCAACAAGAAACTCTGTCTCAAAAAAAAGAATACAATCCATTTAATACAAAATAAATCAGACTAGAATTGCAATAAGCAATCCATATGATCCGTTCCAAGATTCATCTCCTCACTTTGAAAGTGAAGCCGTTCACCATCACGGTTAGACGTTCCACCTTATTTCCCTAGAAGACAACCCTTAGTTAAGGAGATCACCTTAAGCTAATGGCTCTTAGACCTGGAATCACTTGCGGAGATTTTTACACACAGGAACACTTCTATGTGTGTATGTATTTATCAATATGTCTAGGCTTCATACCTGAAGACTTGAACTTATAATGTAACTGGTAAGGTATGGGTATCTGTATTTTTTTTTTTTTTTTGAAATTCTGCAGATTTCACTGTGCACAGATTAAGATGCACTTATTTATTCATTTATTTTTGAGACAGAGTTTTTGCTCTGTTGCCCAGACTGGAGTGCAATGGCACGATCTCAGCTCACTGCTACCTCTGCCTACTGGGTTCAAGTGATTCTCCTGCCTCAGCCTCCCAAGTAGCTGGGATTACAGGTGCCTGCCACCATGCTTGGCTAATTTTTGTATTTTTAGTAGAGATGAGGTTTCACCATGTTGGCCAGGCTGGTCTTGAACTCTTAACCTCAGATGATCCTCCCGCTTCGTCCTTCCAAAGTGCTAGGATTACAGGTGTAAGCCACCGTGCCCAGCCAGAAGCACGAATTCAAACAACAAAGTGCTTAATATTCCATTTTCACACTATGAAAACAAAGTTCAAAGTTTTAATAATATCTAAATGAACAGAGAATTGTAGAAGGCAAATTTCATTTTGTGTAGGAGGGTGCCTCCGAACATAAAAATGAAAAGTTAATGAAACACAACTTTTTGCAAGAATTACTTAGAAGTACTAAGGAATACGAATATTTTGAATCACAGATTCGGTTCAGACCAAGTGTTGCAAACTACAGGTGTGCTCCACATTAAGACTACAAAACTAGAATGTGCAAAACAGAAAAACCAGACACTAGCAATTTAATCGCCTTATAAAACAATGTTAACGACATCCCTTTCTTTACCAAAATGTCATTATAACTAAAATGACTGCTTTGTGAATTAAAACATGATAAGAATGCTTCACCTTCTATAAAGGTATTTTAAAATATAAAAGAAGGTGATGATATGATGAGAGCTATAAAGAGATTATCTTAACTATATCAAGAAAATGTAGGCCGGGAGTGGTGGCTCGCGTCTGTAATCCCAGCACTTTGGGAGGCCGAGGCGGGTGGATCACTTGTGGTCAGGAGTTTGAGACTAGCCTGGCCAGCATGGCAAAACCCCATCTCTACTAAAAATACAAAAATTAGCTGGGCGTGGTGGCAGGCGCCTGTAATCCCAGCTAATCGGGTGGCTGAAGCAGGAGAATCCCTTGAACCCGGGAGGCAGAGGTTGCAGAGAGCCGAGATCTCACCACTGCACTCCAGCCTGGACAACATAGTGAGACTCCCTCTCATTAAAAAAAAAAAAAAAGTATACATTTTCTAATCTCTCAAATAGACTCCTTCAGCTTGGATTGCATGGGGTGACAATACAGGAGGGTAGGGGGAGTGGGCTATGAAGTTGACTAGGAAGATCAAAAAGAAAGAAATAGAAAACATATTAGAGCACAGGAAAAGCACAATGTACTGATTTAGAATGCAGACTGGAGGAGGAGACTACAAATTGGGCCCAAGAACAAGAGAGAAAGGAAAGTCAAACATTAGAAATCCTAGTGGTAAAAACAGACATCTGAGAAGTAGATGAAAGCAAATGGTTGTCAAAACAGCATTCTTTGATGAACTATTCCTACCCTCATCTTGTTATATTTGAAGGGCAGAGGACGTTAATTTGGAATCGACCCAATATCCACTAGGAAAAGGTGCCAGATTCTAGTGATGAGTTATGTTCTTTTTTCTTTTTTTGGGACAGTCTCGCTCTGTCGCCCAGGCTGGAGTGCAGTGGCGTGATCTCTGCTCAATACAAGCTCCACCTCCCGGGTTCACGCCATTCTCCTGCCTCAGCCTCCCGAGTAACTGGGACTACAGGCGCCCGCCACCACGCCCGGCTAATTTTTTATATTTTTAGTAGAGACGGGGTTTCACCGTGTTAGCCAGGATGGTCTCGATCTCCTGACCACATGATCTACCTGCCTCGGCCTCCCAAAGTGCTGGGATCACAGGTGTGAGCCACCACGCCCGGCCAATGAGTTATGTTCTAAACGTTACTCACAATAAACACTAGACCTGCTTCTGCCAGATACCAAGCAGTCCCATCCCCTTGTCCCCAGGGTATGGTACCCTCCCCAAGTTCTAAACTTTACTTTATTTACCTTTCACCGACTTGGATTCTATTTGTTCATGCCTCTCCAATTTATAAATTTTGAATCCTTTTTTTTTTTCTCCAAGACGGAGTTTTGCCCTATCACCCAGGCTGGAGTGCAGTGGCGCAATCTCGGCTCACTGCAACCTCCGCCTCCCAGGTTCAAGCAATTCTCCTACCTCAGCCTCCCAGGTAGCCAGGATTACAGGCATGCGCCATTGCGCCCAGCTAATTTTGTATTTTTAGTAGAGACGGGGTTTCTCCATGCTGGTCAGGCTGGTCTCCAACTCCCGACCTCCGGTGATTCACCTGCCTCGGCCTGCCAAAGTGCTAGCTTTACAGGCATAAGCCACTGCGCCCGGTCCTAAATTTTTGAATTGTTGATTCTCTATAGCAGATCCTTAACATTCTGGAATTTGTTATACACCACTTAGAATCATAGAGAAAAGGCTAGGCGTGGTGGCTCATGCCTATCTGCTTTAGGAGGCCGAGACAGGAGGATCGCTTGAGCCCAGGAGTTTGGGGCTGCAGTAGGCTATGATCATGCCACTGCACTCCAGCCTGGGCGACAGAGTGAGAGAGAGGGAGGGAGAAAGGAAGGAAGGAAAGAGTCATAGGGTAAAACATAAAGCAAGGGCTCTCATTTTTTACTAAATAGACCAACACAGAATTCCTCATGTAGGTAAAGAAGGGTAGGGGGACAGTGGAAGTGGAATGTAGTAAGATATAAAATTTAGAATGAATAATTTACTCCTGGATTTGCCACTAAAGGATAGAACCTCTAGATCAGAGAAACAATATAAGCTTCCCTAAATAGCTCTTTAGCTTAAAAAACAAAAACAAAATTCAACTTACCATTCTGATTTATTTATTTATTTATTTATTTATTTATTTATTTATTTTTTGGAGACAGAGTCTTGCTCTGTTGCCCAGGCTGGAGTCCAGTGGGGCGATCTCAGCTCACTGCAACCTCTGCCTCCCAGGTTCAAGTGATTCTCCTGCCTCAGCCTCCCGAGTAGCTGGGACTACAGGTGCACACCACCATGCCCAGCTCATTTTTGTATTTTTTTAAAGTAGAGACAGGGTTTCACCATGATGGCGAGGCTGGTCTTGAACTCCTGACCTTGTGATCCGCCTACCTCAGCCTCCCAAAGTATTGAGATCACAGGCAGGAGCCACCACGCCCGTCCATCATTCCTCTTTAAAAGTAGACACCACACACACACACATACACAAATGCCCTACCCCCAAAAGGAATAACTCAATGTCATCTGTGTCAATTTAGCTACCTGTTTACAGAAACACCTAGTTCACCAACACTACTGGAGTGAAAACCAGTATGTTCATTTTTTAACTGTCTTTTTTTTAATATAACAGTGATTGGTTGGAAAATATTTCAGTAGTACATTCGGAAAATGTAAAACTGAAACATAATTAGCCTCAATTAATTTAAGAACACTTTAGTTAAACACACACAAATACTAATATCTGCAATTTACTTTGAAATGCATCAAAATACAAGATATGCTGATGAATGGAATGATAAATAAATGGCTAGGTATGTGATAAAACTGCTATCGTGTTCCTAGTAGAATCAAGATGGTGAGTATATGAGTAGTCATTGTGAAATTCAACTGTCCTGTACATTTGAGAATTTTCATTACAAAAAAAAGAAAAAAATCTAGAATAACCCCCCTGCCCAAAATAGAGAGCTCCTTGTATCACACACACACACACACACACACCCTCAAAAACTTACCTCCCAATTTAACTCTAGTGAAAAGAGGAAACTAAAAAACAAATAGTTTAGAAAGTAAAAACTCTGGGCCAGGAGCCGTGGCTCACGCCTGTAATCACAGCACTTTGGGAGTCTCAGGCAGGTAGATAGCTTGAGCTCAGGAACTTGAGACCGGCCTGGGCAACACGGTGAAACCCCATCTTTACCAAAAACACGAAAAAATTAACTGGGCCTGGTGGCATGTGCCCTGTATTCCCAATTACTTGGGGGACTGAGGCGGGAGGATGGCTTGAGCCCACGAGATCGAGGCTGCAGTGAATGGAGATCCCCCCACTGCACTCCAGCCTGGAGGACAAAGTGAAACCCTGTTTCACAAAAAGTAAAAAAAAAGAAAGTAAAAACTCCGAAGAGTTACACAATAAACTGACACAGCAGGCTATATATGACTAAATACATTCTAAAAAAAAAAATCAATTAACACACTTGTATGTAAAAATTTAAATCACAAATATGATAGGCATGTATTTAATAAAATTTCATGTAGTGAGATTATTTCATAAGGAAAAGGAAATAAGAAATTTGACTATATACATGTTAAAATCTTTGTTGGGTAAAAATAACAAATTTAAAAGGCAATGACAATCTGGGAAAAAATTTTACAGTATCTGTTACCCAAAAGTTGTTATAAGTGAGGGAAGCAGGGTGATACAACAGAAGTATGGTGATCCTAGAATCTGCTACAAGTGAATATAATGATGAACAAGTGAATATAATGTATGTGTGCAAAAGGCACACATACAAGCAACTCAGATCAGAAATACAATGGCCAATAAGCACATTTTAAAAAAATGTCAAGTGTTATTGATAAAAGAAATTTAAATAAGGTTTTTTTTTTTGGTTGTTGTTCATCAAAGTGGCAAAACTGTCCAGATTGGGTGGCTCATGCCTGTAACCCCACCACTTTGGGATGCTGAGACAGGAAAACTGCTAGAGCCCAGGAGTTTGAGACCAGCCTAGGGAACAAAATGAGACCTTGTCTCTATAAAAAAATAAAAAACCTTGGCCAGTGCGGTGGCTCACGCCTGTAATCCCAGCACTTTGGGAGGCCAAGGTGAGCGGATCACGAGGTCAGGAGTTCAAGACCAGCCTGACCAACATGGTGAAACCCCGTCTCTACTAAAAATACAAAAATTAGCCAGGTGTGGTGGTGTGTGCCTGTAATTCCAGCTACTCAGGAGGCTGAAGCAGAAGAATTGCTTGAACCCGCGAGGCAGAGGTTGCAGTGAGCCGAGATCTCGCCACTTCAATCCAGCCTGGGCGACAGAGCAAGACTCCATCTCAAGAAAACAAAACAAACAAACAAAAAACAAAAAACAAAAAACAAAACAAAAAAAACACAAAAAAGAAAAGAAAACAAAAAAACTTAGATGGGCATGGCAGCCCATGCCTACAGTCCCAGCTACCTGGGAGACTGAGCGGAGAGGATCCCTTGAGCCCAGGAGGTAAAGGCTGCAGCAAGCCATGAACACACCACTCCACTCTAGCCTGGGTAACAGAGCGGGACCTCGTCTCAAAAAAAAAAAGAAAAAAGAAAGCAAATTTTAAAAAAGATACGTAATATTCAGCACTGATGAAGGGGTGAAGAAACACACAGTTTCATATGCCAGTGGTAGAAGAATAAACTGATATAAACTGGAGGGGGTAATTTTATTAAAAAGTTAGAAAAGGTTTAATTAGTAGAATTCTGCATTTGTATCTGCATTGTATTTTAAGCATAATTTGTTGAAATCAAAGAAAAACATTGATTTGCACAGAAATTCAGAGTTAGAAATGTCCATTACAGTGTTGTTTACTTTTTTTTTTTTTTTTTTTTTTTGAGACAGAGTCTCGCTCTGCCACCCAGGCTGGAGTGCAGTGGAGCAAT
Source organism: Homo sapiens (assembly GCF_000001405.40). NCBI lineage: Eukaryota > Metazoa > Chordata > Mammalia > Primates > Hominidae > Homo > Homo sapiens. Next base: position 258,406 of record NT_187519.1, read on the forward strand.
CTCAGCTCACTACAACATCTGCCTCCTGGATTAAAGCGATTCTCCTGCCTCAGCCTCCCGAGTAGCTGGGATTACAGGTGTGCACCACCACGCTCAGCTAATTTTTGTATTTTTAGTAGAGACAGGGTTTCCCCATGTTGGCCAGGCTGGTCTTGAACTCCTGACCTCAAGTGATCTGCTGGCTTCGGCCTCCCAAAGTGCTGGGATTACAGGCATGAGCCACTGGGCCCGGCCTGTTGTTTACAATTTTAAAAATACATTTAATTTTCATAAATTGTGTGTAAGTAGATTACATGTTTGAGAAGACAGATTCTATGCCACATTAAAAGTTAGAGCCAGAAAGTTTAACTTCATGATAAAATGTTACCAAATTAAACCAGAATAGACAAGAATACATAACAGGGTTACTGGCTAGTGGGATTATGATAGTACTTAATGGTAGAAAATCTTGTTTTCTAAATTTTCTGCCATGTATTAGGATTAGATTTGTAATATAAAAAATAAAATGGCCTTCAATTTGCAATGCATTATATGCATTTTTTATCCAAGGAGAAGTATTTAATGACCAGCCATAGCAAATCATATTATATAAGGTCTGCAAGATACCTATGTATTGTGAAGTTATAGTCCTATTGCCTCAAAAAGCTTACCACAAAAAGTCCTGTATTTGCGATGTTCCTTTTTCACCAAAATAAGTATTTTGCACTTTACCCCTATTATCATCAAGCAGACTCATTTCCCCCACCCTCCTGCTTCCTCAAATCAGTTTCTAGCTGGCTGCCTAGAGTTCAAAACCCCTAACCAGTCCCTAAGCTTTGAATTTGCACTTTTTCTATTCCATGTAACATGTGACAAACCATTACTCAGTTGAACACTTTCCAGAAAAAAGTCAGTTAAAAGAAGAAAGTCTTCCTGGCTGGCCTAGGGAAAAAAAAAGTAAGGAAGCCTTTTAACTTGCTTACTTTTCTACCTCAATTCTCTTTATTTAGACACTGTTTAGAATTAAAGGATGAGTTTAGGATTGGGAAAAAAAGCTATTATCTCAAAGCCTGGTTGTTCTTTTCTTTCTTTTTTGAGATGGAGTCTCACCCTGTTGCCCAGGCTGGAGTACAGTGACGTGATCTTGGCTCACTGCAATCTCCATCTCCTGGGCTCAAGCAATTCTCCTTCCTCAGCCTCCTGAGTAGCTGGGATTACAGGCCTGCGCCACCACGCCTGACTAATTTTTGTATTTTTAGTAGAGACGGGGTTTCACCATGTTGGCCAGGCTGGTCTCGAACTCCTGACCTCAGGTGATCCACCCGCTTCGGCCTCCCAAAGTGCTGGGACTACAGGCGTGAGCCACCGCGCCTGCCCTGGTTGTTCTTATCCTCTTTCTAGCCCTTTTCTCTACCCTCAAGAATATTATAAAATGATGTGCGAAACTGCCTATCGGGATAGAGTGCATAGGAAGTAAAAAACTATTCCTACAGACTCAAAATGAAAAATATTTTTATTTGCCAACATAGTTCTTCAAATCTAACACTATCAAGTTGGTACCACACTTGGGGCAATAAGGGAAGGAGACCCCTATCTGCAATTATACCTTTCATTTGGTTTTTACATCTACCTCGTTTGGCTACCACAATAAACCTCTGAGGTAGCTGGACTATCACTAGCTTCCTGATAAATTCTTCCTATGAAACAGCATCGCTTCTCCTGTTCAAACATCAGAGGCAGCAGCAGCTGCCATACTCATCCACGTAGGAAACAGCATTGGCCTCTTTATGAGTAAAACTTTGTTCAGGGCTTTAGATTTAGTAGTTGCCAGGGGAGAATAACTGTGAACATTCATGTTGATAAACCAGATTTAAAAAAGGAAATTGCTTTCTCAGAGACCATTCAGAAAGAAAGAGGATACTGCCTGATTTCTTATGAAGTATTTAGGTGATTAAAGGTGATACAGGGGACTGATCACTCCTTATCTCTAAAAATACTTCCTTTACTTGGCTTGTGGGACAACACACTCTTCAGTTTCCTCACACCCCACTGTCCACTTTTCAATCCTCCTCGATGGCGCCTTCTCTTTTGCTCAGCTTTCCATGTGGAAAGTACCAATTCTCAATTCTTGGATCTCTTCTCAGTCTAACTCCCTAGCCAAGAGATCCCTTTAAGTCTACTGGTGATGCTTAACATTTAACTATCCTCAGTCCAAACCTCTCCTCTGAATGCTTGACTTACATATCTAACTGCCTACCTGATGTGTCCACTTGGGCGTTTAACAGACACTTCAAACTTAACATATCCAAAACATTTGACTCTCTAAAGCCAGAAACTAGTAACTTTCACTATTGCCACTACTGTCGCTCTAGTCTAAGCCATTAATGTCTCTTAAACCAGATCATTCCAATCATTTCCTAGCTTATCTCATGGTTCCCAGTGTTTTAAAGAATTCCCAGAGCCATTCTTTAAAAATATAACCCAATTTTTTGGCTTTGCTCAAAATCCTCCAATGAATGCTCATAGCACTTAAAATCAATGAATAAAATCTCTATGCAACCTCATTTCCTCCTATAAGCACCTTTTCCTCACTCACCTTCAGCCACAGTGTTCTCCAAATTCACTTATCCCATTCCTGCCTCAGAACCACCGCACCTGAGTAGAATACTCTCCACTCAGATACCTACAAGATGCTTCCTTACCTAATGCAAGTTCTCTGCTAAATGTCACCTCAGAAAGAGGGATTCCCTAACCACTCTAAGATAGTTCTCAAGGTGTAGCATAGTGGATAAAGAGGCTATTTTTTTGTGTCATAGAGGGGACACAAAATATGTATTTATATTTGCTTGAGGTGAAGAAAAATTCATGGCCAGGCGTGGTGGTTCATGCCTGTAATACTAGAACTTTGGGAGGCTGAGGAAAGAGGATCACTTAAGCTCAGGAATTCAAGACCAGCCTTGGCAACATAGTGAGACCTCATCTCTACAAAAAATTAGCTGGGCATGGTGGCGCACACTTGTAGTCCCAGCTACTCAACAGGCTGAGGTGGGAGTATTGCTTAAGCCCAGCGGGTCAAGGCTGCAATGAGCTGGGATCCTGCCCCTGTACCCCATCCTGGGCGACAGAACAAGACTCTGTCTCAAAATAAATAAATAAATAAATAAATAAATAAATAAATAAAGTTCATTGAAGAATACATAAGAAATAATAAAAATAGCTACTTACTGGATTGGCAAAAGTGGTAACTCAGCAGATAAGATGTAGGGTGAAAAGGTTTTTCATATTATTTCTTTTCAAAATATTATTTGAAAACTACCTGAATGAACACTTGAAAACAAATGTAAAACAGCAGTCCTCTACCACTGTCTCTTTACCTTGATTAATTTTTCTTCATAGCATCTATCCTTACTTGACTTTACATCGTAAAAGAATTATCCATATCCTCCAGTATATTGTAAACTTCATCTAATTCCTTTACTGCTGGAGGATATAATGGTTTTCTCTTTAATTTAAAAAACAAAACAAGGCCAGGCGCCATGGCTCACACCTGTAATCCCAGCACTTTCAGAGGCCTAGGCAGTGGACCATGAGGTCAGGAGATCAAGATCATCCTGGCCAACATGGTGAAACCCTGTCTTTACTAAAATACAAAAAATTAGCCGGGCGTGCCTGTAGTCCCGGCTACTCGGGAGGCCGAGGCAGGGGAATAGCTTGAATCCAGGAGGCAGACGTTGTAGTAAGCCGAGACTGAGCCACTGCACTCCAGCCTGGCGAGAGAGCAAGACTCCGTCTCAAAAAAACAAAAACAAAAACAAACAAAAAGGCCCCAAAAACAAACAAACAAAAAAAACCCATCCGAATGGTTTTCATTATTTTTGTGTCACCTTTCCTCCCAGCATCTTTTATTTATGTAACATTCATTCTATTTATAAATGTGCATGGCTTTGTCCTTGGCTATATTAAGTATATGGCCAGGATGGAGACATAAGAGTTTGGCTTGTTGAATTTATAAATGTCAAAAAGCCAGGAAGGAAAGCTAATCCCTTGGATGACAGAATCATGATTCAAGAAGATCTCAAGTTTTAACTATAGCTACGTTCACGGAGATGAAATTTAATAGGAGGCAATGGTAAAATACTGGTTTAAAAACATCACCTGTGTGTTTATACACAATGGGAGAAATCTAGCTAAGTGTAAAAATGTTGGTTTATGTTGACTACATCAGTGGTTTCCAGACCAATTTTTCAGAAAACAAATTAAGAATCAACATAAGGCTGCCAACTTTTTATTGGTTAATCAGGAACACTAAAATAAAACAAAACCCCATGACCAACATCAAAAGAAACTTAACCTATCATTACTTAATAGGTGTTACTAACACTATCATTTAATAAAGGCCATTTATGAACATTAGAAAAGGAGAACAAAATCTCAAAAAATAGTACCTTGAATTACATAAATATAACTTGAAAAGCCATGTAACATTTCTCTCTCTCTCTCTGCTTTTTGCTTTGAATTAGCAGAGATGACTGTTGTTAAAGAGTTGATACAATTTTAGACTTTAAACACAAGTGTATGGCTTGAAATAAGGAAAGGGACAATTTCACTGCACTTTGCATTCAGACCATAACTGCAGAATTAAATATGGAAACAAGATCAGAACACAAAGAATAGCACTGACAAAACTGATTGAATCCAGCTGAGAGATGTGAGGGATGGCAAAGGAAACCATATGAAGTTGGAGGTGTCCTAACATTTAGACAAGAGAAAATCTAGCTAATATATTGAGAAAAACCTTACTTCATCTTACTCCTAAAGACTGAATTGCAACCAGTGGGAAGAAGTTATATAGTAAAAGCAGCTACTAGCTCAATTTAAGTGAGATCTTCCTATTACACTTTTTGGAAGCTAAACAGGCTTTCCTATGCCCAGGGAAGGGTTTGTGGAGAAGTTGGACCCAATAACATCTCAGAGATATTAGTAGTGGGTGATACATTGTATGAGCTGACTTCTAAAGTTCCCTTGAATTCTAAAATTTTATGAACCAGAGTAAGGAAATAAGTGGTACCCTTTAACTTACTAAAAAAGATGAGTAGAAAGAATTTTGGCTTTAGCCAAAAAGACAAAGGTTCAATTATAGGCCCTATCACTTAGGAATGTGTAACGCAGAGGCAAAGTTATTCACTAACTCTATGCTTCAAATTTTTTCAATGTGTAAAAATAATACCTTAATTTAGAAGTTTGTTGCAGAAATTAAATACACACACACCACACACACATAAACTTCCTGGCACCTAGGAAATGTTCAAAATTTGGTAGGTATTATTCAACGATTCAATAAATATTGTGTTTCAAAGGGTAATATTTTCTATATCATTTATTACTTATGGATATACTTAAAAAATGACTTGTTCTCTGCTATGTGTCATTTGTTTTTCAGACCTCAACAATGCATGCTTGGGATTCTTTTCCACTTCTATACTTTCTGCAATTCCTGTTTGTATGTAAGTAGATTTTATGAGGTTTTCTTTAACTTTGCTTTTGCTGTTTTGTTTTTCCACCTTTATTTGATATAAAAGTGGGCTTTAACAGCAACACACATTGGCTATGTCACTGGCTTTGGCTAAAACATTTCTGCTAAACTGGACAATATATCCAGTTTAATCAACCACACTACCAGACAGATGTTTTTTATCTCTCACAATGGCTAACTCACTGCTGAACACTCCTTTATGAAATTTTTGAGTAAGTAAATAAAAACCTAGGGTATCTGATTAGAAATTTTGGTTATTAATGAAATAAAGATATTTCTTCCCATCAAAAGTATCCCATTTCTTAATGAAACAGATCAACACTGAATGCTCCAGTCAATACTATCTACTCACCAAGCATTCTTCAAATGGCACGTAACTGCTCTTTTGTTATACTTCCAGAATAATTTGCAACTGTACAGATACTTTAGTTAGCAATTAAATATCAGGTTGTCTGTCAGATACTTAGTTGAAGAGTACACTGCTTAACATCCCAGTGTTTGGGACAGATAAGAAAGAAAAGTCTTTACCTATTAATTAGTATAGAAAAAATATTTTTCAGGAATACAATTTTGTGGAATAAAAAACATTTTGACAAAAAAGCTTAAGCATATACAATATTTAGTACTAGATGAGCATTATCTAATTGCAATCAGATACAATAATAAAACTAGTTCTTTTTTTCAGTAGATAAAAAGGAACAAGAAACTGATACTTGGAACAAATCAAATAAATCACGAAGCACAGAATTTTAAAAAGTACCATAACAGCATTAATATGCAGAATGTATGCTAAGGTTTACAGTATAAATTTCACTATTCTAATGTTAAAATAGGGAACAGGCAGATTATTTCCATACAAAATAATCTCAGAACACAATGAAATTTACCAGTAAAATACATTTAAAGCATGATTGAATATAATCCCACATACTGAAATTTAGTTACAGATTTTTAAAGTTGAAATTTAAGATAAATAATAAATCCTTTAAAGAAGTCTATTAAAATGCAACGTAAAATTAAACGATTAAAATTATAAGGGAAGAAAAAAGCACTTTATGGCAAAATCAACCCAATAAAAAACATAAAGTTAATATATCTTAAAATGTAAATTCTAGTTTAAGTTAAAAGTAATCACTAATAACTCATTAATGATTACAACTCATTAACTGTGGCAAAATAAACATCATAGGTTCTTGTTATGCGGAAATTTTATTTTTAACACAGCCTATAGAGTTGATCATCATACTATTATAAAATACTATTGATTTTCAAGAAATAATATTAAAACCTACCGTTAAGTAGCTACCATTAGGTAGTAGGGAAAACACTGCAACACTTCGTTTTTATGAAAAGCACATGTTAGGACATCTTTCCTCATGTAGTAAGTTACTTTATGAAAGTAAAGGTCCATTTTAGGAGGATTACTACTTTTACATCACAAAGGCAAGAACTAGATTAATCACGGTGAGAATCAAGTTCAGTGATAGTCACAGCCTACTCAGGGAGCACATAGAGAAGCTTTCCATACATTTTCACAAGGTAAAAGGGCTAGGGGGACACAGGAAAGATCACTCTGCAGAATGGACCTTGAGTTTCGTTTGGCTCTGCCTTCGATTAACTGTCTGGCTTGGGCAGACAAGTCAGTTAACTTTCTGAGTTTTAGTGTCTTCCTCTGTCAAGTGCACTTGGGCTCTTCCGTGTTATCTACAAAGTTAGGAAGAGCTAAAGGCAGCCCTAGTTTTACTTTTTAAAAAATAATAACAGAAAAATACATAAGTTGCTATTCATCAGTGTACTGTTTCCAGAGCTGAATTCCTAAGTCTCTGAAGCATACCCAGTTAGGGTTATACCAGTGAAGATCCAGATACTATAGTCATAATGTCACTCTCTCCTCTCCCATTATTCCTCCACCTGCTCCTCCCCATCCTGCTTTATTCTCTCTTCTGGTGTGTTTTAAGAAGCAACGCCAGCAAACGGCTGCATACATTGTAAGCTTAAGGATTAAATCATTTTAAAATATGCATTTTCAATCAAATGTATCATCTGCTTCGCCAAATTCCTCCCAAATGGCTGAATTTTCATTAAGAGAATAAAAATGAGTTAACAACTTCGGTAACAGAAATGTACTGGGCCAGTTGTTTTGTTTGTTTTACTTGCTTAAAAAATAAACGGAAAGATGTATCCATTCCCTCAGGAACATAAATGCATTACCTGCCCAATGAAAAAACAATTCTGCTTGTTCATTTCCCTGACACAACAGCTTCGTTGTCAGGCCCTCTCTAGCCCAGGCTCCAACGTCACCTAGTAATTTTATATTGATCACCTTGGCAGTGCTTGGACTCCAGCAGGCATAGTCCCTGTCTTCCTTACATTCCTCAAAATAAATAAATAAATAAATAAATAAATAAATAAAACTCTACGAAACACCACCGAACAGAGATTCTGTGACTTAGTATACAAATCCCACGTCTTCCCGCCCTGTGTTAGGCAGCTGCAAATGTTATTTTTTCATCGCTTGCATAAAATGGAAGCGAAACGTACCAAAACCCTACATCTGAATCCTAGGACAATGAAGCCGACAGGAAGCCACTCTCTCCTCCCCCGGGTTTACTACAGAGCCAGAGCCTCCACGGGGTGCAGTCGCCAGGCAGGGTGCATGACACCGCGTCTTCCACGCCCTCCCAACGCGTCCAAAAGGTTGCTCGCCTGACCTCGCCAACCGCCTCACACCCCAAAACCAATCACACAAAAGGGATTGGCCCGGGGAGCTGCTCCAATGGGGGAAAAATCCCTTCCCCAGCGGCAGCGCAGCCATTCCCTCCAATGCTCCGCCCGCACCCCTCGCAAACTGCTACGGCGGAGGGGGGAGGGCTGCACAAAGCCAGTCGAAAGCTGAAAATGATTCAATGCACTTAGGGGATGCGGAGGCGGCAGCAAGGGGCTCGGGAAAGCCGGGGGGCCGCAGGACTGGAGCTCCGGGGGGCGGCGGGTGGGGGATGGGAAGGGTGGTCCCGTCAAGCCCCGGGTCCCAGGCGGGCAGAGGGTGGGGGTGGCGGCGCCGCGCGGAGCACCCGGGAAGCGCCCCCTTCGCGGTCCAGCCCCGCACCCCCGCCCCGCGGCGGGCGGCGCCCGAGTCCTCGCCGCAAACCCGAGGAGCAGGATGTGGAAAGCAGCCGCGGCGGTGGCTGCGGCTGCGGCGCCTACACCGAGCAGCCGATCGCATCACTTACCCCTTACCGTGGAGAGAGGGACCGGACGGGGGAGGCGGGGCGCGTCGCGTCCCGTGAGTCTCTCGCACGCCGTCCTCCCCCCACCTCGTCGTCGTCGTCGTCGCCGCTGTTGTCGTCGCTGCCGCTGCGGTCGAGCTCCGGGGCCCTCAGCTCCGCTGGGCAATAACGTTATTCCACACACGCCCCACACATAGCGGTAACGGCAAAGACCGACTGCCTAGTGCGCAGGCGCCTCGGGAAAGGGCGAGGAGCCGGACCCTATCCCCTCCTGCCCAGTTCCAACGATCCCTTACTGCGCAGGCGCCACACACAGACAATGAAAAGGGGTTGTGCGAGGGTCTCACCCACACGCTTTTCCAGCTTGCCCACTGCGCAGGCGTGCCCCGAAAGACCAGCTTGAACAATGAAGAGGACCTCGGCGTTAGGTGGGACCGCAACCAACAAGGACTACAGTTCCCAGCGGGCAGAGCGCCAACTCCAAGTGAAGGTCCGGTTGCTGGGCATGCTAGGAGTTGTAGTGTCGGCCGCCTTTACAATCTAGGCTGTTTGGAAGATTTAGAGCTTCTATTTCTTGAAGATTTATTCGACCGTTTTAAAAAATCTCGCAACTGAAGCAGGGTTCAGAGTTTACTATCTGCGTCCTTGAGTAGCCTGGGGATCAACTGCTGCATATTAGCAAATTTCGAAGCGTCAAGGCCTTCAGTGAGCCCTTTCTGTCATTTGGGTGGTCCAGGCAGCTGAAGAGTGGGATGGAGGCGGGACTAAACCAGGCTGGGCTGGAGGAAAAGGGCGGGGCCTGCAAGCCTGTCTCTTGGCAGCAGGCTCTGGCAGCCAAACCGTCCAAGCTAGCGCCTGGAGCGCAGTGGTTTCTGGGAATTGTAGTGTAACTGGAAGGCCCTGAGGATTGTCGAGCTTGCAGGTTCTGAACGTGAGGACTACAACTCCCGACGTGCAAAGCGAGGGCCAGTGGGTGGGAAGAGCCCCCAAGAGCTCTGTGCGGGATTCTAGGCTCCCCTGTGACAGCCGCGGCAGGAAGCAGGCGGGCGCTCCCCGGCCACAGGCCTGTTGTTCTCGGAAGGGAGAAAGCTGGACATTTCCCCACGTAACTCCCAGCTCTGGGCCTAGAGTGCGTGCATGGCGAAGTCCCCGGAGAACTCTACCCTGGAGGAGATTCTGGGGCAGTATCAACGGAGTCTCCGGGGTGAGTTGCTCCAAACCTCTGTCCCTAGCCCCGAGGTGCCCAGGGCCTAGTGGGCGGGAGCAGACCAGGTGCGTTTCCTAACACCTGGGTTCTGCCCCGTCCACGCTACAGAGGAGCAAGATGGATGTTGCTGTGGTCTTGAGGAGGATGAAATAGTTTGATTTAGTTTTTACAGTTAAGCAACGATGTTTCCTCAGATTCCCGTAGTTACCTCAATCAACTCCTTGATCTTAACTTGGCATCTTTCTCAACCGGCGACAGCAGAAACTCTTGGATAGCTCTATGCCATTTTTGTTCAGTTCCCATACGTTGCTATTTAATCCAATAAAAGTCTGATTCACAGTTTTTACACATTTAAATTATGGCACAGTGGATTGAATGTGATTTATGGGATCAGTGGGGGGAAACACTAATAATTATTTTAATCACAAGAGCCCCCTTTTAATTGATTTAGGCTATTTACATACAGTAAATCATCTGCAGCTTACACCAATCGTGTGAATATTTTACACATGGGGAAAGCGAAGCTCAGAGAGGTTGAATTACAGGCCAGAGCCCACACAGCTGGTTAGTTGCAGAGCCAGGTATTATCAGGCTTGCCTTCAAAGCCTATGTTTGTATTTACTAATCAAGCCATAATTACTATTATCAAAACCTTATTAATTTAGATTTTCTTACCACATTACCATATGAGCAAGTATCTGTACAAATAATGTCTGTATTTATTTTCCTTTAAGCTCTGTTGGACTTAATGTCTGTACTTTTAGATGGCGCTGTCAACTTGGACAGCATATATAACATCTAGAAATTTCGATTCTGTTATAATGGAAGTTATGGAATTGTCCATAGGGTTATTGTGGGGAGCAAATGAAATAATCCCCATAAAGCAGTGATTTTAAGACTTCTTAAAATGTTTACCTATAGTAAGAAATAAATTTTATATGGGACATATGTGTACATATAAACTATAAGTTTCACTGAAGAATTTTTATTCTACTAAATGTAATAAACTCTGCTTTCTATTCTGTTGCATTTTCATAAGCCTCTAGGTCATGACTGTTTGCGACATTGAGAATACTAAGTTATGAAGCATGTGTTGTTCTGCATAATATGCCTACTATGTGTCAGTGCCTCCTACTATGTGTTAAGCATACTAGGTGCTAGGCATGCAGTAAGGAACAAGACAAAGTTCCTATCCCCATGGAGCTTCTGGATTAGTTGGGGAGAAAGACAAAAAAAAAAAATAATTATAGATTACTATGATAGAAAGTAAGGGTAAAGATCAGTGCTTACTAGACAAGCACTCATTAAATGTTAATTGTTATTTATACTTGTTACTTAAAGCAAAGTGAAGGTTTTTCAATATTAGAAAGTTTATCTTCTCATGACTCTAGATTTTATAAGGGTTACTATGTATTGTTACATCTGTCAATTGTGTTAACAAACTGTCGACATTCTCAGTATTCAAACTGCAGGAGTAAAAAAATCGGTTTTAATGAACACCTTCCTCAACCTACTGATGTTTCAAGAGCTGTTAGATACAAAATAAGCACTTCTAACTTTTCATTTGGAAGCAAGAAAAATACTGTGCACAATGATATGAGTAATTGTAATTTTTAAGATTGGCAAAAATTTTTTGTTTTCATTGAAAGTTTTTCCTGATGCTTCTCTTCCTTTGACCTTATTTTAAGTCTTTATATAATTGTCGGAGGCTGTTTAACATTAGGCATTTTGACGCAGTAAAGGGGTTCATTTTAAATTAATGTTATAGTAATATGTTTAATACTAGTGGTACTGCTTTCAATAATTACAGAATGAAGGGTTTTCATTTAAGGATAATACATTTTAAAATTAGTTTGAAATAAAATTTAAATTTAGTGTGATAACAATATAAGGTAGTGGAAACATTTCACCAAGAGCAAATACGAAGGATAGAAAAAGTTAAACAACTTAAAAAAAAACGTATTCATAATTTTAACAGTGAATCAGGAAATGTAACCTGAAATGTTTATGGGTTTTTCAGGACATATCATTTATTTAGTAGCACTTTTATTTTTGTATGTTAGCTTATATAACAGCTTCTGGAAGGAAACAAAACAGAATTAACTCTGAACTTAAGTACAGTCAGAAGTTCTTCACAAATATAAATTGCTATTTTTGAGTAGTATAATTTATTTATTTAGAGATGGAGTCTCACTCTGTCATCCAGGCTGAAATGCAGTGGTGCCATCTCGGCTCACTGCAGCCTCTGCCTCCTGGATTCAAGCAACTCTCCAGCCTCAGCCTCCCAAGTAGCTGGGATTACAGGCACGCGCCACCATGCCCGGCTAATTTTTGTATTTTTAGTAGAGACTGGGTTTCGCCATGTTGGTCAGGCTGCTCTAGAACTCCTGACCTTAAGTGATCCGCCCACTTCAGCCTCCCAAAGTCTGGGGTTATAGGCGTGAGCCACCGCGCCCGGCTGATAATTCCCTTTAAAGTAAAGTATTCTGTTCCTTAATAAACAATGCTGGAGTTATGTGGAAATTCCTTATTTTGAGTGTGCCTAATAATTTAAGAATTGTATTACTATGTAGTAAGATAAAATGCAGTTTAAAGTTCTATGTCTTATTTTGTTTTGGTTTTGTTGGTTTGTTTGGTTTTGTCTACCCACCATTACTTCCCCAAATGCCTTGCGTAGTTTATGATTAATGGAAGCCTAATAAACAGTCTTGGTCTTTCCTCACCGGTTTTTCCTCTAGCTTGTAAATAACTGCACATGTAGTCACTACTAATATCCCTTCATTGATATTCAGCCAGGAAGTGGCCGCATAAAAATGCAAAATGCTTTCCCTATTTTCCGTGATCGTACTTCCATTTTAAAAAGATCTTTTCCTGGGGCCGGGCGTGGTGGCTCACGCCTGTAATCCCAGCACTTTGGGAGGCTGGGGCGGGCGGATCACGAGGTCAGGAGATGGGAGACCAGCCTGGCTAACACGGTGAAACCCCGTCTGTACTAAAAAAAAAAATACAAAAAACTAGCCGGGCGTGGTGGCGGGCGCCTGTAGTCCCAGCTACTCAGGAGGCTGAGGCAGGAGAATGGCATGAACCCAGGAGGTGGAGCTTGCAGTGAGCCGAGATCGCGCCACTGCACTCCAGCCTGGGCGACAGAGCGAGACTCTGTCTCAAAAAACAACAAAAACAAAAACAAAAACAAATTTCCTTATTTCTTTAATGTTGGTACTATTATGGTATATCAAAATTTGAAGTTCTAATGTGAAAACTGAGTCAGCATTTACTTTCTTGTTTTTAAAATGAGGTTGGGCGCGGTGGCTCACGCCTGTAATCCCAGCACTTTGGGAGGCCGAGGCGGGCAGATCACCTGACGTCTGGAGTTCGAGAACAGCCTGAGCAATATGGAGAAACCCTGTCTCTACTAAAAATACAAAATGAGCCAGGCGTGGTGGCAGGCGCGTGTAACCCCAGCTACTCGGGAGGCTGAGGCAGGAGAATTGCTTGAGCCTGGGAGGCGCAGGTTGCGGTGGGCGGAGGTTGCAGTGTGCTGAGATCGCGCCACTGCACTCCAGCCTGGGTAACAAGAGTGAAATCCTATCTCCAAAACAAACAAACAAAAAAAGATATTTTCCTCATTTCTTTAATTTTGGTACTATTATGGTATATCAATAATTTGAAGTTGTAATGTGAAAACTGAGTCAGCGTTTACTTTCTTGCTTTTAAAATGAGATCCTTGCCTCATTTTGACCTTGATGATCTTGGAGCAGCTCCACATTCACCTTTCATCCATTCCCTTACACTTTTCAGTGGATTTGCTGTTTGACTTCTCTAAAGATATCTCTTGCTTTGGGTCGCCTATGCCCTTTTACAAGAAATTGGAGACATTTAATGATTCTTCTTCAAAACGAGAGTTCTGGCAGAAAAACCGGAAGGCTTTGTTGCCCCCACAGATCTGTTGTATTATTCCTACATAGTAAATGGTCTGAAAGTTTCCAGTGTGGTTAAAAGTGTATGTGTCCTGGGTATCCTGGGAACCACAGAATTTAATCTAGAACTGGAAGTGATTTGGGAGGTCTCTTGGCAGTAAGGTTAGGTGTTCATTTACTCTATGGGTAGTTATAATTCAACAACCACAGAATGGCCGAGAACTACATTTGTAAGTGGGCAAGATAGCACATGCGCCTTCTCTAAATTCAATACATCGTTGTATAAAGCCAAGAGGTATGAAATGAACTATTTCATAGCCAAGAAAGGGTGAAAAAAGCCACAATTATAGGCAATCCAGGCTCTATTTTAAGTACTGCACACTTGAGTGTAAGGGGATATCAGAAAGGAGAAAAATTGCTAGAAATGCAGTATTTTAGCCTTAATAACAGAATCATGTCTCATCTCTTGCTGCAGCGTTGGGAATAGATAACAATTTTATCAACAACACCTGTATACATGACTCACCTATTCACCTCATTCCTAGCCACCTTTGGTTGGGTGAGTATAAGGAAAAATGAAACAAACTTCTTGTATGACAGGAACTCATGATTTTCTATATACATTTTGCATTCTGGTTTTACCTTTTTCTGTCAACATTTTGGTGTTTCAGCCTTTAGATGAATTTATGGGAAGAGTGTGGTGGGGTCAGAGGAGAGAATGTGGAGCTGGGAGCCAGGTCACTGCACTTACTTTTGCTTTGCTGACAACCATCTGGGTAACCTTAGGCAAGTGAAACACACTGTTCTTGGATTCCCGTTTCCTCAACTGTAAAACGAAAAGTTTGGACTGGATGTGAGAATTATTGCCTTTAGGTGCCAAGCAAATGATCAAAAGGTATGATGGAGTCAGTGGAAGACATTAAGGGAAATGATGAGGCTTATGGCCAAATTGGGCAGTTTCTGCTTTTTCTAAAAACATTTCAATTTCTTCCTTGCTCCCTCCCTCTTTGCTTCCTTTTTTTTCTTCTCTCTTTTTCCCTCTTTTCCTCCCTCTTTTCTTCCAAGAAGGAAGCCAAGCAAAACACACCCAGAGCCTGATTCCCCTTTAGACACCACTCTCTGACCCTTTGATCATTAATGTTCCTTCCATCAGCACTTGTTTGGACCAGATGAATGATTAAGGGCTATGTTTTTGTCTTATGGAAATGAGAGTAAGGAGTTGAACCAGGTACACAGAAAGTGAGAGGATGAATATGAGAAGAAAATATATAATCTCAGGGATGGGCCTTGTCTTTACGAATTGATGTAGTTCAAGAAAACCAAAGATAAGGTTGACTTTCTATGTTTTGCTTGTATATGATTAGCACATCTATCCAAATCCTGCAAAGTGGCTCACAATTGTAGAAGGGCTGTGTTAGTCTTACTAGCCAACAATTTGGTCAGTGTATTAGCCAGCAGTGATATCATCTGGCTGTCTTAAGAAAACATATGTGTAACTCAAATAAGTATTCCTGTTTTCTTATAAAACTTGTATTTCTTTTTTGCTTTTCTCAAATATTTTCTGGATTTTTAAATATTGTTTGCCATATGCACTATATAGGAATATACACACATAAACATGAGGGGTTTTTTGCTGATAAAATTCAAATTATACATATTCATCTTTTGTTTTATATATTCATGTGGCTTTTCTTTTTCTTTTTTTTTTTTTTTTAATCTCAGCTCACTGCAACTTCCACCTCCCAGGTTTAAGCGATTCTCCTGCCTCAGCCTCCCGAGTAGCTGGGTTACAGGCACGTGCCAACACACCTGGCTAATTTTGTATTTTTAGTAGAGACGGGGTTTCTCCATATTGGTCAGGCTGGTCTCAAACTCCCAACCTCAGGTGATCTGCCTGCCTTGGCCTCCCAAAGTGCTGGGATTACAGGCATGAGCCACGGTGCCCGACTTTTTTTTTTTCTTTTGAGACAGGGTCTTATTCTTTTGCCCAGGCTGGAGTGCAGTGATGTGATCTTGGCTCACTGCAACTTCTGCCTCCTGAGTTCAAGCGATTCTCCTGCCTCAGCCTCCCGAGTAGCTGTGATTACAGGTGCCACCACCACGCCCGGCTAATTTTTTTATTTTTAGTAGAGGCAGGGTTTCACCATGTTGCCCAGGCTGGTCTCGAACTCCTGGCCTCAAGTGATCCACCTGCCTTGGCCTCCCAAAGTGCTGGGATTACAGGCATGAGCCATTGTGCCTGGCCTCATGTGGCTCTTCTTAGTGCCTTTAACTTTTATGATCTTTTATTTTACTAGAACTTAAAAGTACAATCTCAATTTTTCTTTCCTACTACTGATGAGATAAAATTGGCAAAAGACAGGATTTAGCAACCAGAAAAGAAATGAGTGTTCTACAAGTAAATAGTCATCCCTGGAATAATCTAAATCAAAGGTATGTTTCAGTGTTAGGAGATTGTAGGGGTACTTTTTCATGTTCTTTGTCAGAAATAGGTATAGAGTAAGTTTTTTTCAAACTATTGAGATACTGAGAGTAATAATATTCTCTCCTGGGATGTTTAAAGACTTATGGTCTGATCACATTGCCAGTTTGTGCTAAGATTTTCACCATTTTACTTGATGATAACTCTTCTCAGAGTCCAAAAGTAGACAAGGTAGCTAGAAATGCCCTTGTGCACTGGCTGAAGCAATCCTGATGATGGCGGAACTTCATCAAAGCCCACTGGATACTTAAAGGGATGGCCTTAGGGCAAATATTGCTTTTAGGCCCTGAAACAAAATAAAGCTAAATATGAATCTGAGCTCTTGCTTCTGATAGATATAACACCTATTCCTGACACCTGGATCAGATGTGTCCCATCATGGCACTGTCGGTCTCAGGCTGTGTCCTCCCCACCAGCACTCCTGTGGCAGAATAGCTCACTGTCACGCTCATTTTCCATCAAGAGGCGGCAACACTTACAATGTAATGTGGTCAGAGTGATAGCAAGTCTCCCCTCAACACTGAAAACTCTTGTTTTATTGATCTCGTTTTATTGACTTGAAAACTGTCTTGTTTTATTGATTTTTTTTTATTGTCACAATTGGGGGTGGAGATGAGTGCTGCTGGCCTCTGGTAGGCAGAAGCCAGGGATGCTATTAAACTGGCACAACACAGCCCCTTCCAAAAGAGAATTATCAGGTCCAAACTGTCAATAGTGCTGAGGTTGAGAAATCACGATCTAGAAGTACAGGCTTTGCTTGTAGCCCTTGATCTGCAAGAATCCTACTTTACAGTAATTACAAGTAAGGATATACAGATTGTATTTGCTGGTGATTTTACCTATGTTCTTTGCCAGCCTGGCTAGGTTTACTTCTTTTATCAGTGGAAAGTGACAGGTGCATCAGTCCTCTCCACTGATGCCAAAGAAATACCAGGTGTATCCCTTAGAATGCATATAGCCAATCTCCTGGATTTGCCAACACCCACATATCTTTAATGGTCTTCCAGACATTGCTTTCTTAAGATGTTTACATTCTTTATCAGATTATCTTTTACTCCTGGCGCCAACCACTTTAGCATGTTTTCAGTTATTAGAGTCTTAGGATAGTATTTTCTTTGAGATTCAAACAAAAAAGTATTCTACATAGTACTTGTAATCTCTTTCACAATTGTAATTGCCTTTCACAAAGCCGACATTGTCTGATTTTTTGATTCTGCTGTTTATATCTTGGTAGTGTTACCTGTTGGTCCCCTAGTAAACAGTGACAGCAATCTTCTGAACCAGGCTGAGGCCCAGTCAAGTGTAGATAGACATGTATTTCTTATCTCACTGTGGTTTTATTTTTCTGCATGTCTGCCCTAATCAAAGCTTGTGCTGGGAGCTGCAGTGCATCTCATATCTCGGCCTCGGGAGGAATGGTTCATTGCATATTCTCTCAGAGACAGCTGGGCGCTTCGCAGGGAGTGGTCCCCCTCCCTGTCACCAGGGCAATTCTCTTTCACATCTCCCAGGACAGATGGAGAATGAAGAAATTAATAATTCATAGTGTGTATTTAAGTGGTGATTCTTCCTAGACTGAGACATACTTGCATTTTGTTCAAAAACATCTTGATGAAGACAGGCCCAGTGGTGACCTAAGAGTTAGAACATAGGAAGTAGGGAAACTCTTACTAAGAAAATGGACAATACAGGCCAGGCAGGGTGGCTCACGCCTGTAATCCCAGCACTTTGGGAGGCTGAGGCGGAAGGATCACCTGAGGTCGAGGGTTTGAGACCAGCCTGACCAACATGGAGAAACCCTGTCTCTACCAAAAATACAAAATTACCCAGGTGTGGTGGTGCATGCCTGTAATCCCAGCTACTCAGGAGGCTGAGGCAGGAGAATTGCTTGAACCTGGGAGGCGGAGGTTGCAGTGAGCCGAGATTGCACCATTGCACTCCAGCCTGGGCAACCAGAGCGAAAACTCCATCTCAAAAAAAAAAGAAGAAAGAAAATGGACAAGACAGACTGAAATTAGCTAGCAGCCATTAGCTCAGGTACCTTTTAAGTGCTCATTGTACTGATTGATGTTTGGATAGTGCATTAGCAGAAATATTATCTACTTGCACTTACGTTCATGTGATCTGTAGGACTCAGGGGTCCTGTTTGTGTCTGTAGTCATAGTTAAGTTTATAGTCAGTTCCTGGTTGGTGCTGGGGAAAAGAAATCAGGATGCATTCATTGTGAAATACCCTTACTGTCCTCTCAGGAGAGAAGAGGAAATGAGTGTGTTCTCTCTCTTGGTTAGAAACAGATAAAGCTGTGTCCCATTAGCAGTTGGATAGGAAACGGTAACTGGAACCTTCTGTCTAATCTGGTTTCCTTAAATGTAAGGAGCAGATAACTGCATCTGGGGAGTAGTGCTCTTAATAAGGATTATGGGGGCTTCAGTTGCAATGGCTCCAGTTGAAGAGCCATGGGATTTCATCTGTCCTGAATCATCTGAGTGTTATTCTTCTTCACATTAACTGTGTTTATCTGTTATAGTATATAATTATGCTGGTTTGTTATGTATTTGAAAAGCACTTAGCATGTTTTGAAATGTAGCGTTGAAATGACTTTAAAATGTCAACTCTGTAGTTTTAGTTTTAGGGCACAGTTCTTGCAAATTCCTGCTTTTCCTCTCTGACCCTAGTAACTCTGAAATCAGTAGTTGCAAACAAACAAACCCTAAAGCCTTGTGTGTCACTTTTCTTTGGGATAGTTGTTGAATTCAATAGCTCATTATTTCACGTAATATTATGTTCATAGTGCAATTTAACATGTAGTCTTTGAATGTTATAAATTCTAAAAGATTAAACAAGAACATTAGAAAAGGAATGAAAAGTGCTCTTAAAATCCTGCCCTAGGCCGGGCATGGTGGCTCACTCCTGTAATCCCAGCACTTTGGGAGGCCAAGGTGGGTGGATCACCTGAGGTTAGGAGTTTGAGACCAGCCTGGCCAACACGGTGAAACCCCATCTCTACTAAAAATACAAAAATTAGGTGGGTGTGGTGGCGCATGCCTGTAATCCCAGCTACTCGGGAGGCTGAGGCAGGAAAAATGCTTGAACCTGGGAGGCGGAGGTTGCAGTGAGCCAAGATCGCACCATTGCACTCCAGCCTGGGGACAACAGGGAGACTTCGTCTCCAAAAAAAAAAAAAACTCCTGCCTTTCTTGTAATCTGATGAAAGAACTCTGCCTACAGAGGCTTTTAACTATGCAAATTCTTTCCATATTTTTTTTCTTTTTCCTAATATAGTTTATTAGCTTTTACTCAGACTAGGTATAAATAAATAATTATCCCTTGCCTTAGAGGTGAAGTCATTTGAAAGCTCCATGGAATACATTTCTTCTTTAAAAACGCAACAAAAATTTTTTATTGTAAATTGACAATTTATAATTGTATAAATTTATGGGTTACAAAGTGATGTCATAAATTGTGGATACAATGTGGAATAATTAAATAAAGCTAGTTAACATATCCAATACTTCCAATACATTTCTGTGATGAGAACATCAATTTTGAAATGTGTAATACTCCATTATTAAGTATATGCACCACACTGTACAATAGAACTCAAAAAAAGTATAAAACATATTCTTCCTGTCTGAGATTTTGTACCCTTTGACCATCACTGAATTTTTTTTTCTTTTTCTTTTTTTTTTTTTATGAGACAGTCTCACTCTGTCACCCAGCCTGGAATGCAGTGGTGTGATCTCGGCTCACTGCAACCTCCGCCCCCCGGCTTCAAGCAACTCTGTTGCCTCAGCCTCCCCAGCAGCCAGGACCACAGGCACACAACACCACAACCTGCCAACCTTTTTTGTATTTTTAGTACAGATGGGGTTTTGTCACGTTGTTCAGGCTGGTCTTGAACTCTTGACCTCAGGTGATCCACCCACCTTAGCCTCCCAAAGTCCCAGGACCACAGACATGAGCCACTGTGCCTGGACTAAAATTTTTATGAGACAAAATATCAATTTCAAAACAGCATCAAAAAGTGAGTAGGCCAGGCACGGTGGCTCATGCCTGCAATCCCAGCACTTTGGGAGGCCGAGGTGTATTTTTCTGTACTAAAAATACAAAAGTATTTGTCTCTATTATAAATACAAAAAAAAAAAAAGAAATTAGCTGGGCACTGTGGCACATGCCTGCAATCCCAGCCACTCAGGAGGCTGAGGAAGGAGAACCATCTGAACCCTGGAGGCAGAGCCACAGTGAGCTGAGACTGCACTACTTGCACTCCAGCCTGGGCAACAAGAGTGCAACTTCGTCTCAAAAAAAAAAAAAAAAAAATGCTGGGCGCGGTGGCTCACGCTTGTAACCCCAGCACTTTGGGAGGCCGAGGCAGGCGGATCACAAAGTCAGGAGATCGAGACCATCCTCGCTAACACGGTGAAACCCTGTCTGTACTAAAAGTACAAAAATTAGCTGCGCGTGGTGGCGTGTAACTGTAGTCCCAGTTTCTCGGGAGGCTGAGGCAGGAGAATGGCGTGAACCTGAGAGGCGGAGGTTGTAGTGAGTGAAGATCGCACCACTACACTGCAGCCTGGGCGACAGAGCGAGACTCCGTCTTAAAAAAAAAAAAAAGAAATATACATGATAGGAATTCCAGGAATCTTATGGATTCTTCTTTTAAGGTCCCGGTCACTGGGCGTGGTGGCTTACGCCTGTAATCCCAAGACTTTTGGAGGCTGAGACGGGCGGATTTCACCTGAGGTCGGGAGTTTGAGACCAGCCTGACCAACGTGGAGAAACCCCGTCTCTACTAAAAAAAAATACAGAATTAGCCGGGCGTGGTGACAGGTACCTGTAATCCCAGCTATTGGGGAGGCTGAGGCAGGAGAATCGCTTGAACCCGAGAGGCGGAGGGTGCGGTGAGCCGAGATTGCGCCATCGCACTCCAGCCTGGGCGACAAGAGCCAAACTCCCTCTCAAGAAAAAAAAAAAAAAAGTCCCGGTCAACTGTGGGCACAATGTAACACTTACACACACTTAGGCTGAGTTACTCTCTGTACTAAGCAGTCATGTGCATAGGTTCCTGTGTGTGTACATGGTAATTGTTCAAATCTTGGATCCTTGGCGATCCTTAGAGCCACTCAATACTTCTGCCCCAATTTCTCAATTTCAGCCATTACACAATCAGTTATACAAGGGATACACTTGACATGCAGACAGCCCATCATTGACTGCACTAAGTCCAGTTTGGCTTTTATGGAAAAGTTGATAAAGTTGGTATCAACGAGGATGTGGTAAGGTGGGCCCAGCTGTGTATTATATTGGCAAAATAATCAGGAAAGGTGTTGCGGAACTTCTCTTTCCTTTAACGCGCTGGGATCCTTCTTTTCTTTCTCTTTAGGTTTTAATCTATCCTTTTCTTTAAGCCTCTGATCTCTGAGACTAAGCGTTTGCTTCATGGTTGTATAGTTCCTCATTTTCTTTTGCTTCCTCATGGTCACACCACACTCCTGTTTCTTCCGTAATCACCAACGGTGCAATGCTTTTACCTGGAATACATTTTTATGTTAGTCAAACTGTCTCGTTCCTTTCTAATAGATTCAATAAAGATAAGTGTTTTATTCGTGGATTTAAGGGCATAAATCTAAAGCTCCATGAACTGAATTGCTTATCATGTAACACTTTGATTTTCCTTTTCCATGACCAAATCGCTTTTCTATTCTATTTTCTAATACTAAGTTATTGTAAAACTATCACAGTTTCATATATTCCCAAAACCAGGAATGCGTCTTATCTGAACTTCCTTAAACTCATGATGAGTCAGAGGAGGCCAGTTTTCATTAGTAATCAGCGCCAAATTCATTTCAAAGAAAGATCTGTGTGGACATAGGATTGGTATGGAGAAAAATATGGTGATAAATTAACTGTGTCTCTTGTATAGTTGAGTAATAGAATTTCATTGTCGAACCCTGACCTGAAATACATGTTTTCTTTTATCAAAGTAGAAAATGAGTTGCTGCAAGTAAAGAAACTGTATTAGATATTGTATAACAGAGACTTTTTTTTTCTATTAAGTACTAACATTGCTTTTGTTTCTGTTCCAAACTTTGAAATCAGTGCACTTGGACAAAATGGAAACTGCTTTTCAAGGTCCTACAGAATATATGTTTATAAATGTATTTTTATACATGGTTGGTAATGAATCAGGTCTCTTTCGTGCCATTGCAGTTAGAGGGCCTCTGGTGCTGGAGTCCTCTGGAGGACTGGGCTGTCAGAGTGGGGCAGCGGGGTGCAGCGCGGGGAGGGCTTTTCTCTTTCTTCGTGCCTCTGGTGCTGGAGTCCTCTGGAGGACTGGGCTGTCAGAGTGGGGCAGCGGGGTGCAGTGCGGGGAGGGCTTTTCTCTTTCTTCATGGGGTCTCAGGGCCTCTCTCTTCCTCTCCACGTATGCTCTTCACAGGTCTCTCCAGCAGGGTAGTCAGATATCTTACATAGCGGCTTAGGGCTCCCAAAAGCAAACATTCCAAGAGGAAGCAGAAGCTGCCAGTCCTTTTAAAGATGAGGCTTGGGTGTGACATGGTATAACTTTTATTGCATTCTATTGGTTAATGCAGATTACAGGCCCAGTCAGTTTCAGATTAGAAGAGAACAAGGGAATGAGGCTGGGTTCCTTGGAGGCTATTTTTTTTTTTTTTTTTTTCTGAAACAGTCTCGCTCTCTTGCCAGGCTGGAGTGCAGTGGTGCGATCTCGGCTCGCTGCAACCCCTTGGAGGCTATTTTTAGAGATGAACTATCACAGTAATATACCTTAAAATACTTCATTTTAGACAGTTTTTGTGTGTTCTAGGGGTGGTCAGTTGCACTAACCAAGAATCTATGAGGTGTGGTTGGCCAGCAGTATATAGAAAGAGCTGTACCGCCGGGGCTGCCACTATAAGCACTTCAGCTATGCAAATTTTGATCAAAACTAGGCCAGACATGTGGATGTCTCTTGGTGGGGGAGGGATTTCCTGTCCCCAGGGACAATGAGGCTTCCCTAGGTTGGAACTGGGTGTGACGCAGTCCCTTTTGCTGGCTCTTCCCACCTCCCCACTGCTCCTTTCGTCCCCCTCTGTCTCCAAGTTGGTAAAGGAGTCAGGCATGGTGGGAAGGAGAGCACTTCCCTTAGCAAGTTATTGTTTAATGGGAGCTGGTGGGAAGAGTTCTGTCATTTAATCCTTGCCGGTGGTGCTATATGTAGTGAAATCAACTGCTACAGTGGTAGGGGCCTTAGAGATCATCAAGTCCTACCTCTAAACCATGAAGTTAATCTTCTCTCACCATCTTTGGCACATCCCTCAGCAAGCTAGAAACAGAACTCTGCGTTTTTTCCATAAAGTACGAGAAATAATGATTTCACCTTTAAAAACTGCCTTCCTGAGTAAGTGTCCGTTTGGTCAACCAGACTCCATGGGTCCTAACTTTCGTCAGGTTGTTCTTGCAGAACATGCCAGCAGAAGCATTCACCAACTGACATGTGCCCTGAAAGAAGGCGATGTCACTATTGGAGAAGATGCACCAAATCTTTCTTTTAGCACCAGTGTGGGAAATGAGGACGCCAGGACAGCCTGGCCCGAATTACAACAGAGCCATGCTGGTGAGTGTGAATGTCAATCCTAGTCTGAATGATGCATAGTGAATTTTTTAAACTCCGTAGAATAATAACTCCATTCATTCTTCATTCTGCTGCTATGATGTTATTCCTCAAACACAAATCAGATAATTTAATTCCCTCGCTTAATCTTGTTTTCCTTTGACTTCCCAATGCTTATAGGCTAAAGTCCAAAATTCTTAGTTATAAAATAACAGTGTTTTCCTAAGATAGCTCTAACCTGCCTCTTCGGCTCATCTTTGTGTACTTCTCATGCTAATCATCCATCTCACAACTCATATTCTAGTTATAATAACCTCCTCTCTATGCTTTTATGCTTTGACATGTGCAGTGACTTCTAACTGGAATTTTTCTTATCCTTTTCTGCTTGGTGAACTCCTTCCTGTTTATCCTTGCAGTGTTATCTCCTCTGTGAAAACAAGCACAATTAGCTTCTTCCTCTTCTTGTAGCACTGTGCATAGCTTTAGGTCTACATACAAACTTATTTTATATCTATTAGTGTCTCTCTCTTCCTTGCTAGATTCTTAGCTCTTAAGGGGTAGAAATTCTTTTTTTTTTTTTATGTTGGTCTTGTATCCCCAGTTGATAGCAGAATTCTTGATGCATAATATATCAGCAATTTTTATTAGTTGGAAGGATGGATGGGTGGTAAGAAACCATGGATCTCAAATAAGGTTAATAAACCCTCTGCTTTTGCTCTATAGTTAATCAGCTCAAAGATTTGTTGCGCCAACAAGCAGATAAGGAAAGTGAAGTATCTCCGTCAAGAAGAAGAAAAATGTCCCCCTTGGTAAGTATCAACTTTTCCAAGTTGACAAAGCATTCCTGTGTTTTACTGTATTGTGTTATTTTGTAGTACATGTTGCAGAAAAAATTTAAGCATGGCATACTAATAGTGAAAAACATTAAAAGTAATTCTCTTCCCTCTGATTATTTTGGCTGAAAAAATAGATTTCCATGGCAGAGGGAATCTTGATTTTTTAAATTTATTATTCACTTGGAAAATGGGAGCAAGGGAATAGTTTGGAGAATTTATTTTGCAACTGTTAGCAAAATATGTAATATAAATATATAATATATAATAAATTAATATAATAAATTATATGTCAGAATATATGTAAAAGATAAAGTCATTATTTTAGTAATTTCTTTTTTAGAGGGTCATATCTATTATTGATCATTTTTAGAAGTTACTTAATTATAATTGTAGCCCTACTTTGTAATATTTTTTAAATTTTGAGTGTCAAAATAATACATTTTATTTTTAATTAATTAATTAATTTTTTTGAGACAGAGTCTCATTCTGTTGCTCAGGCTAGAGTGCAGTGGCATGATCTCGCCTCACTACAACCTCTGCCTCCCTGGTTCAAGCGATTCTCCTGCCTCAGCCTCCCTAGTATTTGGGTTTACAGATGTGCACTACCACACCAGGCTAATTTTTTGTATTTTTAGTAGAGATGGGGTTTCACCATATTGGCTAGGCTGGTCTCGAACTCTGAACCTCAGGAAATCCATCAGCCTCGGCCTCCCAAAGCACCGGGATTATAGGTGTGAGCCACCGCGCCTGGCCTCAAAATAATACGTTTTAATATGTAATGTTCTATATGTTAAAATATATGGTTATAAAATAGTATGATATATAAGAAGTGGTGCTGTATTTCTTCTGAAGTTGTTTGTTATTGCTTTGACAGAGTGTATTATTTCTGATTAAAGCATTTTATATGCTAAAGGCTGAGATAGATGTGAGTGAAAGCACTCTGGACCAGATTTAAGTGGACAAAATAATAGTCAAGGGCTTAGTTCTATCTAGGGTCTATCACATACTCTCTAAGATATTGTGCCTGTCTCACAGAGTTTTTGGAATAATGAGATAAGATTACATACTTAAAATTCTTTAGAAACCTATGAAGTGTTACATAAACATAACATGCATAGCAGCAAGTAACCACCTCACATTTTCAATGTGTTTTCTAGTTCAATACAATGCCTGTATGCTGAAAAGTGTGGAGACATGTCACTTTCTTTTCTTCACCACTGAAATATCAGAGTATCACTCCCATACGAACACTCCATTCCAGGCTGACACATACTTTTAAGCTTAATTCCTACTTTAGAGAAATGTACTTCATATGCATATTCTAAATTTATAGATACAGATTTTATAATTTTAGTAAAACATCTCATCATTTAATGAATTTATTACTATTGACATCTGGTTTCTAGCTTGCTCTTAAGCACAGACTGGTGGAATGCTTTTAAATCTACTAGATGAAGTTGCTTTATCTGTTGAATGCTCAGACATGCTTATTTGCCTTTTAAAGTCTGAGCAGTGATATTATGGAGCTTACTGAATCCAGACAGGCAGGAAGACCTTCACTAAGAGAATCAGTTTAGTACATACAGAGTGCACTTTAAAATACACAAGTCTATTTATATGGAGCTATGTAAAAGAATGGAACTTAGACTCTATATGTATACAGCCTACATGTAATAATTATAAACCATAATAGTAATAATTAGCTTTTTAAGATTATACCTTTAGAATGCACTTTCATAGCCAGTATAACATATTAGAAATACATGCATATATTGAGAGTAAAACTGAGGCACTGTTGAGATGGAAAAAAAGTTATTACTTATTGTCTTAAAATGTAGATATCTAAACTAAAGCCCTTCAAAGTAGACACAAATGATTTCATGTGAACATTTTTCATACAATATTGGCTTGAGCTTTTTATTTTTCACATTGACTTCCTCCTGTATACTCATAGTAGTAATTTATATTTGCCTATCTTCTGAACCTATTGCTATTAATGGAGGATGATTATAATTGTTTGATTTCTACTCAGGACAGATAATTCATTTAATTAGAGTTACTTTGGTTTTTAAATTTCTTAAATATACCAAAAAACCAAAGCTCTATTTTATTTTATTCTGCCATGATAGCTGGTACTTGATTATCATTTAAAATGTCTGCTGTGCTGAGAAAGAGAGTGGCTGAGAAACAGACACTGTGCCTCATTTCAAGCTTTCCTCTGGCTTTGTTTAACTGGTTGACCCTTGTTTTACCTTTTCCTGATTTCCTCATCCTTTAAAAAAAAAATTATGTGATGGGTATATGATTTTACAAACTATTTTAGGATAAGGTAAGCTATACATTAACAGTCAGTTCCAGGAATGCTACAGAGCTAAAATAGCATTAGCGTTTTTTTGAAATCTCTTCGTTGGACCCCTCAATGCAGTGTGTCTCTACTTTAGGGTTCTACTCTTGGAGGTTCTATGCTCCAGAACACCATACACTTGAATTGCCTTCAATACTAGAGCCAAAAATCAAAAACTACATTTTGCTAATGTATCTTTTTTGAGATGGAATTTCATCGCATTGACACTGGCTTGGCATCAAACGCTTCCTAAAGAATCTCTCCTTCACGGAGCTGCTGCAGTTTTAGCTAGCAAATCCTCTTCCATGGCAGTTTCTTGGAGAGAGTTGTCCCTTGTATCTCAGCATTACTGAATGGAATGTTGTTTTTCCAATTTGTTAAAATAGTTTATTCCAAGCCAGTTATACTACTGCTACCCCAGCATTTTTCCATTCACTATATGTGCTTTTTATAACCACTTTCACCATCCATCTTTAAAAAAAATGATATTCACATCCATGAATCTTGTGTATTTGTGGAATTTATAGGATAGAGAAGCAAGTATTTGTATTAGTCCATTCTCGTGTTGCTAAAAATAAATACCTGAGGCTGGGTAATTTATTTAAAAAAGAGGTTTAATCAGCTCATGGTTCTGCAGGCTGTATAGGAAGTGTGATACTGGCATCTCACTCTGGTGAGGGCCTCAGGAAACTTTCAGTCATGGTGGAAGGTGAAAGGGGAGCAGGCATTTCATGTGGTGAGAGCCAGAGCAAGAAGTGGGAGAGGTGTCACATTCTTTTAAACAACCAAATCTCACCAAAACTCAGAGCAAGAACTCATTATCATGAGGATAGCACCAAGATTCATTCATCATGACCGAAACACCTCCCACCAGGCCCCACCTCCAATGCTGGGGGCCACATTTCAACTTGAGGTTTGTGGGGGACAAGCATCCAAACTATATCAAGACTATAAGCTACATTGTGATCGATTCTATGTTTATATCACATCAGTGCAAAATTGAGTATGGAGAAGGTAACAACTGATTCTTTGCTAAATCCAAACATGCTTAATTTGGCTTTTTAAAATTTATGTATTTATGTATTTATTTATTTATTTTTTGTCATAGAGGTCATTAGAACATGAGGAAACCAATATGCCTACTATGCACGACCTTGTTCATACTATTAATGACCAGTCTCAATATATTCATCATTTAGAGGCAGAAGTTAAGTTCTGCAAGGTAAGTTTCTCATTAAGAATTTAAAACTAAATAAATGAAAGCTTATATTAACTATAGATTGTATTAAAATTTGCTGCTATAAATCTTCATGTTTGTAGCAATACATTGACAATTGCTATTCTTACGTGATTGAGAGACTGATGTGTCACAAGAGCTTGTCAGACTTGGGAATGATGCTCTTGACCATACCATTTCTGATTGCTTGATTTCCCAGTAGTTCATTACTATGTCTAATGATTTCATAATATGCTTTCATATTTCAGAAGTTTTCCTTCTCACCCCGCTTGCTGTAGCCCAGCAAATGGCAAATGCTTTGGAATACAAATACCAATCATTCTCCCATACTTGTCAACCTACTGGAGCAGTGGTACAGCAATCAGGGATTCTAAACTGGTAGACCAATTCTTCTCCGCTGTCAGTATTAAGGCTCTTACTTTGACTTTGAATGAGAATGGTTCATAGGGTACTGACAGTAATGATCAAGAAACCAAACACATCATATATAGCTTATGACACTAGAAGGTTATATGCTCAACTGCGTGCAGTTTGCTAATGTCATTAATGCTAATAGAGCCTTTTCATCTTCCCGAAGTATGTCGTGTTTTACTTTTTTTTTTCTGTTTCTTTCTCTCTTTCTTTCTTTCCCTCCCTCTTTCTTTCTTTCTAGTATCAGTGTATTCGATTGTATGATATTTTTATAGGAATCACTGATATCTCTTGTATCATGTTTTTATATATAGTATATGATATTATGTATTATATTGTTGACATTTTAAGATGCAAGGCCAGTATGTAACTTAAGGAGGCTTTAGATGTTTCACTGTCCTGATTTTACCGGGGAGTTTCTGATCTTAACATGTAATTTCCTGTTTGTTCTTGGAGGACACAGTTATTAATATACACGTGGTCCTGGATTACCAGTAAAGCTGAAATAATATCCTAGGAACTATTTCATTAACAATACTCTATTAATCCCTAAGATGTTGTGGATAAAACTTGAAAGATATAAAGCAGAATAAATTTACTATCTAGTTGAGAAGACAGAACTATTCCCTATTAACACCATAAGGAGCACATTAGAGAACATAGTATAGGCCTTTACTTTTTGGTATAAGCTATAATTATAATAAGAGAAGAAGGTTAGGAAAAGCTACTGTCTTTGGGAATGTTTCTATGGGAGAGAGAGATCTTGAACCAATGTTTTTTTTTTTTTTTTTTTTTTTTTTTTGATGGAGTCTCGCATTGTCGCCAGACTGGAGTGCGGTGTCACAGTCTCCGCTCACTGCAACCTCCGACTCCCTGGTTCAAGCTATTCTCCTGCCTCAGCCTCCCCAGTAGCTGGGATTACAGGCCTGCGCCACCACGCCCAGCTAATTTTTGTATTTTTTGTAGAGACGGGGTTTCACCATGTTGGCCAGCATGGTCTCGATCTCTTGACCTCGTGATCCGTCCGCCTTGGTCTCCCAAAGTGCTGGAATTACCGGTATGAGCCACGATGCCCGGCCTAAACCAGTCTTAAAGGAATAGGATCATTTAGATCAGCAGAAGGGAGATGAGTTTCATAAAGAGAATGGCAACAGTGAAACACAGTATTCAGGATGAATATGGTTTGTGGGGGCCATAAGCCATCTACTTTATCTTCCTGCAGTGGAGAATGTCTCATAGAAATAATGAAAGTAATCCTGAACTGGTAAAATGGAAGATTACGGAAGCCTTGACTGTCAGACAGAGTGTAAATTTGATACATTTTAGTAAGAGAAGAATAGAATTAAAATAATGTTTAAGTGGTTTAGAAAGATTTTGTTTATTTAGTTAATGGACTTTATTTTTTAGATCAGTTTTAGGTTTATAGAAAGGTTGAATGGCAAACACATAGAGTCCTGTATCCTCCTTTCAGTGACATCCCTCACCTAATAGTTTCCCTTGTTATTAACATCTTGCATCAGTGTGGCACATTTGTTACAACTGATGAACCACTATTGTTAAATTATTATTATCTAAGTCTCTCAGTTTGCATTAGCTTTGTGTTATACATTCTACGAATTTGACAAGTGTATAATGACATATATCCACCATTACAGTATCATATAGAATAGTTTCACTGTCTGAAACATCCTCTTGCGCTTCACTTATTCATCCCTCTTCCCCTCCGCCCCTTCCCTCCCATCCCCTGGCAACCATTGATCTTTTTACTCTCTCCATAGTTTTGACTTGCAGAATGTCATATACTTGGAATTATTCTGTATATAGCCTTTTCTGACTGGCCTATTATACTTAGTAATATGAATTCAAGTTTCCTCCTTGTCTTTTCATAACTTGATAGCTCATTTCTTTTTATTATTAAGTAGTATTCAATTAGATGAATATACCATAGCTTTTTTATCTGTGCACCTATGGGAGGGCATCTTTGTTGCTTCCAAGTTTTGGCAATTGCGAATAAAGCTACTGTAAGCATTTGTGTGTCAGTTTTTGTGTGGACATCTGTTTTTACCTCTTTAAAGTAAATACCAAGAAGCTCAATTTCTGCATCATATGGTAAGACTAATTTTAACTTTGCAAGAAATTGCCTAACTTTTCTAAAGTGGTTGTACCGTTATGCATTATGCAGTAAATGAGAGTTCCTAATACTCCATATCCTCATTAGCATTTGGTGTTGTCAGTGTTTTAGATTTTAGCTGTTCTAATAGATGTGTAGTGGAACCTCATTGCTGTTTTAATTTCAATTCCCTGATCACAAATGATGCTGAGCATCTTTTCCTATGCCTATATTCCACCTATGTAACATCTTTGAGTGAGGTGTCTGTTCAGGTCGTTCACCCATTTTTAAAATCAGGTTATTCGTTTTCTTAGTGTTGAGTTTCAACAATTCTTTCTGTATTTTGGATGCCAGTCCTTTATCAGATATGTCTTTTTCAAGTATTTTCTCCCAGTCTTTGACTTGGCATTTACTTCTCTTAACAGTATCTTTCAATGAGCAGAAATTTTTAATTTTAATGAAGTTTAACTTACCAATTTTTTTCTTTCATAGATTGTACTTTTAACTTTGTGTTTAAAAATTTATTACCAAATCCAGGTTCACTATATTTTCTCCTTTCTTCTTCTAGTATTTTATAATTGTTTATTTTACATTTAGATCATGTTTGAAGGATAGTTGTCCATATTTTTGGGTCTATTTCTGGGCTTTCCTGTTCCATTGATTAACTTGTCAATTCTTTGGCCACTATCACTCTATCTTGATTACTGTAGCTTTACATTAAGTCTTGAAGTTGGGTAATATCAGTACTCTAATTTTGTTCTTTTTCAATATTGTGATGAGTATTCTGGGACTTTTGCATCTCCCTGTAAACTTTAGAATCAGTTTGTCGATATCCACAAAATAGGATTTGGATTGGAATTGTGTTGGATCTATTGATCAAGTTGGGAATAACTGGCATTTTGATACTATTGAGTATCCCTATCCATGAACATGGAATATCTCTATTTACTTAGATCTTCTTTGATTTCTTTAATCAGTGTTGTGGTTTTCCTCAAATAGATCTTCTACAAATTTTGTGAGATTTATACCTATTTCATTTTATTTTTGAGGTGGAGTCTCGCTCTGTCACCCAGGCTGGAGTGCAATGTTGCAGTCTTAGCTCACTACATCCTCCGCCTCCCGGGTTCAAACAATTCTTCTGCCTCAGCCTCCCGAATAGCTGGGACTACAGGTGTGTGCCACCACACCTGGCTAATTTTTGTATTTTTAATAGAGATGGGGTTTCACTATGTTGGCCAGGCTGCTCTCGAACTCCTGAACTCGTGATCCACCCGCCTCGGTCTCCCAAAGTGCTGGGATTACAGGCATGAGCCACTGTGCCCAGCCACCTATTTTATTTTTTAGTGTAATGGTATTATGTATTTAATTTCAAATTCCAATTATTTATTGCTAATATAGAAGAAAACAATTGACTTTGTATATTGACCTTGTATTCTGCAACCTTGGTATAAGTCACTTATTAGTTCCAGCATTTTTTGTTGATTCTTTGGGATTTTCCTCATTGACAAGCATATTGTCTGCAAACGAAAGACAGTGTTATTTTCTCCTTTCCAATATATTTAGATTTTGTGTTTTTTAAATTTTTCATTTATTTTAATTAATTTTCTTGAGGAAGGGTCTTGCTGGAGTGCACAGGCTGGAGTGCAGTGGCATAATCATGGCTCACTGTAGCCTTGACATCCTGGGCGCAAGTGATCCTCCTACCACAGCCTCCCTAGTAGCTGGGACCACAGGTGCACACCACCATGCTTGGCTATTTTATTATTATTATTATTATTTGTAGAATTGAGGTCTCATCATGTTGCCCAGGCTGGTCTTGAACTCCTGGGCTCAAACAGTCCTCCTGCCTGGGCTTCCCAAGGTGTTGAGATTACAGGCTTTAGCAAATGTGCCCAGCCAGATTTTATTTTTTTAATTGTCTTATTGCATTAGCTAAGACTTTTTGGAATGATGTTGAATGGTTGTGAGAGGGGCCATCTTTGCCTTGTTCCTGATCTTAGTGGGAAACTACTTTCCTACCATAAAGTATATTAGCTATAGGTTATTTGTAGATGTTCTTTATCAAGTTGAGAATGTTTCCTCTATTCCTAGTTACTGAGAGTACAGATGCCTCTCGACTTAAAATGGGATTGCGTCCTGATAAACTCGTTGTAAGTTGAAAATGCATTGAATATACTATAGATTATTGGTTGTTTACCTCTGTGATTGCATGGCTAACTGGGAGCTACAGCTCACTGCCACTGCTGCTGCCCAGCATCATGAGAGAATATTATACTACATATTGCTAGCTTGAGAAAATAACAAAATTTGAAACTTGAATTATGGTTTCTACTGAATGCATATTGCTTTTGCAGCATAATAACGTCAAAAAAATCATAAGTCAAACCATCACAAGTCAGGGACCATCTGTGTTTATCATAGATGGCTGCCGCATTTTGTCAAAAGCTTTTCCTGCCTCTACTGTTAAAATTATGATTTTTCTTCTCAACATTGTTGATATGATGGATTACATTAACTGATCCTCAAATGTCGAACCAATGTTGTGTAATTAGAATAAATCTTACTTTATCCTGGTGTATAATTCTTTTTTACATTGTTGGATTTGATTTGCTAGTATTTTATTGAGGATTTTTTCATCTATGTTCATTAGACATATTGATCTGTAATTTTCCACTCTTGTAATGTTTTCACTTGGTTCGGGTATTAGGTTAATGCTGGCCTCATAAAATGAGTTAGGAAATACTTCCTCTTGAATTTTATGAAATATATTATAGATAATTGGTATAATTTCTTTCTTAAATATTTGATAGAATTCACTAGTGAACTTACCTGGGCCTGGTGCTTTCTGTTTTGAAAGGTTGCTAATTATTGATTTAATTTTCTTGATAAATATAGGTTTATTCAGATTATCTATTCCTCCCTCTGTGAGTTTTCATGGATTGTGTCTTACAAAGAATTGGTGCATTTCATCTAGGTGACTAAATTCATGATCATGGAGTTGTTCATAGTATTTCTTTGTTATCCTGTTTTTTAAACATTTCTTTATTATCCTTTTAATGTTCATGGGATCAGTAGTGATAGCCCCATTTTCACTTCTGATCTTAGTATATGATAGAATCTAATTGATATTTTCTCTTTTTTTCTTAACCTGTATATAGTCTTATCAATTTTATTCATCTTTTCAAAGACCCAACTTTTGGTTTTGTTGTTTTTCTCTGTTGATTTTCTATTTTTAATTTCATTGATTTTTACTCTAATTTTTATTATATGTTCTTTTCTGCTTACTCTGGAATTAATTTGCTATTGGTTTTGCAACTTCTAAAGTAGAAGCTTAGATTATTTATTTGAAATCTTTCTTCTTTTCTAATTTTTTTACACTCCTTTTGCTGCATCCTTTTAATAAGTATATAGCTTTTTATCAGTTGTATTTTAATTTTTACTTAGTTGAAAATATTTCTAAATGGCTCTTGATACTTCTTTGATTCATGTGTGTCATTTAGAAGAGTGTTGTGTCATCATCAAGTATTTGGGGAGTTTCCCAGCTATCGTTCTGTTATTGATTTCTGGTTTAATTCCATTGTTGTCTGACAGCATACTTTCCTATTCTTTTAAATTTGTTAAGGTTTGTACATTGTAGTCTGTCTTGGTGAATGTTCTGTGTGAGCCTGAAGAAAACGTGTGTACTGCTGTTCTTGGATGAAGTAGTCTATAAATGTCAGTTAGATCCAGTTGATTGATGCTGTTGTTCATTTCAATTGTGCCCTTTGTGATTTTTATAATTTTTGACAGGGGATGTTGAAATTTCCAACTGTAATAGTGGATTCATGTGTTTTCCTTTGCCTCATACATTTTGATACACTTTTATTAGGCACATATACATTAAGACTTGTAACGTCTTCTTGGTGAATGGACCTCTTTATCATCATGTAATGTACCTCTTTATCTCTGATCATTTTCATTGGTCTGAAGTCTGCTTTGTCTAAAATTCATATTGCTACTCCAACTTTCTATTGATTAGTGTTAACATGATACATCTTTCTTCATTTATTTTAAATCTATCTGTGTCTTCGTATTTATAATTGGCTTTTTTTTTTGTTTTGAGATTTCTTTTTTTTTTTTTTTGGTTAGAGATGGGGTCTCACTATATTGCTCAGGCTGGTCTTGAACTCCTGGGCTCAAGGGATCCTCCCATCTCAGCCTCCCAAGTAACTGGGATTACAGATATGAGCCACCTTGCCCAGTTATTATAGGCTTCTTGTAGACAACATATAGTTTATTGTTCTTTTTTTTAACCATTCTGACAGTCTCTATCTT
The DNA here is from genome assembly GCF_000001405.40 of Homo sapiens. NCBI lineage: Eukaryota > Metazoa > Chordata > Mammalia > Primates > Hominidae > Homo > Homo sapiens. Next base: position 293,615 of record NT_187519.1, read on the forward strand.
TTAGTTGGTATATTCAGACCATTATATTTAAAGAGATTATTGTTATGATTGGATCAATGTATAACACATTTGTTACTATTATCTTCATTGTCTTTATTTTTTGTTTCTTTAAAAAAAATTCACTCTTTTTCTGCCTTCTCTGGCTTTTTTTTTTTTTTTTTTAGAGATAGAGTCTTGCCCTGTTACCTAGGCAGTGACGTAATCAAAGCTCACTACAGCCTAGAACTCCTGGGCTCAAGCAGTCCTCCTACCGCCTCCCTGCTGAGTAGCTAGGACTACAGACATGCACCACTATGCCTGGCTAATTTTTATGTTTTTTTACAGAGATGGGGTCTCACTATGTTGCCCAGGCTGGTGGCGAACTCCTGGCCCCAAGTGATCCTCCCACCTCAGCCTTCCAAAGTGCTGGGCTTACGAGGTGTGAGCCACTGCACCTGTCCCTTTTGTGGCTTTGATTGAGCATTTTATATGATTGCATTTTATTTTTTATTTTTGGAGACAGAGTCTCTCTCAGTCGCCCAGGCTGTAGTGCAGTGACTCCATCTTGGCCCACTGCAACCTCTGCCTCCTGGGTTCAATCAATTCTCATGCCTCAGCCTTCCTAGTAGCTAGGACTACAGGTGAGCCACCACAACCAGCTAATTTTTGTATGATTGCATTTTTTTCCAATTCACATATCAATTGATCAATTGTACTTCTTTTTTTTTTTCTTTGCTGGTAGCCGTTGATTGATGCTGTTGTTATTTGCAGTAAATATTTATAACTAACTTAAGTTTACTTTCAAGTAAACCTATGCCACTTCTTGAATAGTATAAATTGCTTATAACAGAATTCCCAAGCCCTCTCTCATCCTTTATAACATTTCTGCCATTAACTTCAGTTATTCATAAACTAAAATTACTACAAACACTATTGCAATTATGATGTTGAACACAAAGTGTCATCTGTCAAATTAATAAGAAAATATTTTATCTTATATCCACTTATTCCTTCTTTAATACTCTTTTTTTCTTTATGTAGATGGCAGTTTCTGACTTTATCACCTTTTCTCCTTTCTGAAGAACTTTTTTAAACATTTCTTGCAAGGCATATATGCTAGCAATAAATTCCATCAATTCTTGTTTGTCTAAGAAAATATTTTTCTTTCTCTTTTGAAGGTTAATCTTGCTGAATCCAGAATTCTAGGTTGGTGGGTTTTTTCTTTTAACACTTTAAAAATTAGATTCATTTTATTCTCTTCCTGTTTGCACGGCTTCTGCAAAGTACTCCCAGGTAATTCTTATCCTTGCTTCTTTGTAGGTAAGGTTTTTGTTTTTTTGTTTGTTTGATTTTTGTTTTTTAATTATTATTATTTATTTGAGACTGAGTCTCGCTCTATAGCACAGGCTGGAGTGCAGTGGCGAGGTCTTGGCTCACTGCAACCTCTGCCTCCTGGGTTCAAGCAATTCTCATGCCTCAGCCTCCCGAGTAGCTGGGATTACAGGTGCCTGCCACCACACCTGGCTAATTTTTGTATTTTTAGTAGAGACAGGGTTTCACCATGTTAGCCAGGCTGGTTTTGAACTCCTGACCCTCACATGATCCGCCTGCCTCGGCCTTCCAAAGTGCTGGGATTACAGGCATGAGCCACCGCACCCGGCCTGATTTTTGGGTTTTCTTTGTTTGTTTGTTTACTTTGGCTTATTTTAAGATTTTTCTCTTTGTCTTTGATTTTCTGCAGTATCAATATGATATTCCTCAGTGTATTTTTGGGGGGTATTTATCCTGCTTGGTGTTCGGTGAGCTTCCTAGATCTGTGGTTTGGTGCCTGTCATTAATTCAGGAAATTTTTCAGTCATTATTGACTGAAATGTTTCTTCTTTTCCTTTCTTTCCTTTTTTGTGTCCCTGTTTATTTATATATATATATATACATGTATATATATATATTTATTACACAATTTGTAATTGTACTGCAGTTCTTGTATAATTTTTCTGTCTTCAGTTTTTTTCCTTATTGCACTTCTTTTTTGGAAATTCTTATTGACAATTCTTAAAGTTTACTAATGCATTCCTCAGCTATATCCAGTCTACTGATGAGCCTTTCAAAGGCACTCTTCATGTCTGTTAATAGTTTTTTATTTTGAGCATTTTCTTTTCATAGAGTTTTCATCTCTCTGCTTATATTACCCCGCTGTTCTTGCATATAGTCTATTTTTTCTATTAGAGACCTTAACATAGTAATCATAATTATTTTATTTATTTATTTATTTTGAGACGGAGTCTCACTCTGTTGCCCAGGCTCAAGTGCAGTGGCGTGATCTTGGCTCACTGCAACCTCTGCCTCCTGGGTTCAAGTGATTCTCCTGCCTCAGCCTCCCGAGTGGCTGGGATAACAGGCATGCACCACCACCCCCGGCTAGTTTTTTTTGCATTTTTAGTAGAGATGGGGTTTCACTATGTTGGTCAGGCTGGTCTCGAACTCCTGACCTCAGGTGATCCTCCCACCTTGGCCTCCCAAAGTGCTGGGATTACAGGTGTGAGCCACCGTGCCTGGCCTTAATCATAATTATTTTAAATTCCTGGTCTGATAATTTTAACATCTTTGCCTTATCTCAGACTGTTTCTGATGCTTGTTAAATCTTTTCAAACTGTGTTTCAGTCTTTTAGCATGTCTTGTAATTGTTTGATGAATGCTGGACATGACATATTTGGTAAAAGGAACTGAGGTAAGTAGGCCTTTAGCATGAGCTTTTATGTTTATCTGGCTGGAAGCTAGGCTGTGTTTGCTGTCACCGTACATGTCAGAGGCTAAAATTTCCTTCAGTGTCCTGGTCTTGTCTCTTCTGTTGTCTATGGATTACCCTAGTGAGTTCTTCCTAAATATAGTCTGAGATATGCAGTTCTTTCTGTTGAATTTCTCTGTCAGTATACGGGAGCCATAGTGATGTGGTCGTTAGATGTGGGAGTAGAGGGAAGCGTTCAATAGTCCTATGACTAGATCTAAGTCTTTTAGTAAAGCCTTTGCCTTGGGCTGTGACGTTCACAAGTGCTTCTCAGTCTCCCCTGCCCTTTAAGTTAGACGAGATAGCTAGAGGAAGCCGGAGGCCCCCTCTCCCACACGGAATGCAAGAGGGGGCTGGAGCTGGATTTCTCTTTTTTTAGGCCGGTTAGGTGGCAGCAGCCCTCCAGTCAGTTAGGCTCTGGTAAAGTCGTTTCCCTTGAGGCAGGCCTGTTACAAGGAATGCAACATGCCAAGCATATTTCAAACTGGCTGCTTTTCTTCTTCCTTTAGGTTGCATAAGGGGATTTTTTTCTAGTTTTTACTGTGAAAACCTGGTAGTGTCCTGGAGATAAAATTGGGGAAGTGGGGCAGTCCTTCTATGACTGGGTCTTCCTGGAATTTTTTTTTTTTTGAGACGGAGTCTCGCTCTGTCACCCAGGCTGGAGTGCAGTGGCGTGATCTTGGCTCACTGAAACCTTGGCCTCCCAGGTTCAAGCCATTCTCCTACCTCAGCCTCCTGAGTAGCTGGGACTACAGGCGTGTGCCATCACACCTGGCTAATTTTTGTATTTTTAGTAGAGATGGGGTTTCACCGTATTGGCCAGGCTGGTCTTGAACCCCTGACCTCATGATCTGCCCACCTCAGCCTCAAAATGCTGGGATTACAGGCGTGAGCCACCGCGCCCGGTCTGGAATTTTTAACTCTCAAACTTGCTGACACTGAGCTTCCAGCAAGTCATCAATTATGATTTAGATTTTCTACCTCCTACAGAGGTTTCTGATTTCCTCCTGTAAATTCTGTGTCTCAGCGTCCACCCATCTCTTCAGTTTTGGGGCAGCAGTTTTCCCTATGACTTCATTTCTCTGATGGATCTAAGAAGAGTTGTTGATTTTCAGTTTGTTCAACATTTTTCCTGTTGGGAAGATGGGAGTGAGGTGTTCCAAGCTCATTACATTCCAGACTGAAAATTCAAAGTCCACAATATTTTTTAAATTACAGCTTTTTATTATAGCTTTGGGTTTTTAAAAAATAATAATTGAGAGGAATTTTCACATGTTGTACAATAGCTTTTGATTGCACTAGTAGTGAATATTAGGTTAAGTATTATATGATTGATATGTTGATATTATTGAAACGTTTTTCCAGAGACTGAGGTGCCACTCAATAGCTATTCTAATGATTGTTGACCTGTAATTTCTTATGTTACATCCTGTAATTTTAATTGTTATTGATTTGTAATTCTTTATATTACACCCTGTGAGGCCAAGGAAATACTCTTTCACAATTCTCCATGAAATGTTTTACTACAATTCTCTCTTATTTGGCTACCATTTCATAGATAATCATCACTCCCGTCTATGCCTTTCTATCTCAGAGCCTCCCTCTATTTAATCTTCCATCAGTTTTTAACAAGTTGATGGTATTTGATCATGAGTAATAATATATCTTATTTTTCAGAATCTACTCCATTCTTTAAAATCTCTTGGATAACCCTTTTAATTAAGGCTTTTCTTTGAGCCTCGATTCCTTGGAGAAAAGGAAATTGTCAGAAACGACACACTTCTGTGATATGCCACCAGCAGGCCCATTACTATATACCCCAGCCTTCTCTTTGTTATCTAGCTAATGTTAGGCTGCCTTGTTTGTCTAAACATATAATTATATTTCAGGAAAAGGAGAACATAAGTCTTCCGTACTTTATATCATGCTGTGCCCTCTAATAATCAACAAATAAAAACACTGCTTAATAATGCTTAATGTGTTTGGTTTTGTTTATTATAGGAGGAACTCTCTGGAATGAAAAATAAAATACAAGTAGTTGTGCTTGAAAACGAAGGGCTCCAGCAACAGCTAAAATCTCAAAGACAAGAGGAGACACTGAGGGAACAAACACTTCTGGATGCATCCGTGAGCATTATTTTAAATCATAAATTTTATTTTAGTGTGAATATTCCCTTCTGCCCTCTCTCCTCGCCTTCTTCGCTGCTTAGATTTTCTCCCTGAAGTGTGGCCAAAGTACTATGTTGGTATTTGTTTGAGACCTCAAATATCAAACTTCACTGTGGTGGAATGAATCCTCAGATGAAACGATCTTGTGATATTTTGCTACAGTTTCCTCTCTGAGCATACCGTTTCTGCCTTACCATATGGAAAGAGCCGGTCTGAAAGCAGGAAGTGTGTTATACAGGAAGGACTTTGCTAAGTCTAGAAACCGTTCAGAACTTTAACTTAGATTTCTGTTGGATTTCTCTAAATTTTCCTTGAGGTCTGAAATCTAATAAGTCTAATTAGCTGCATGATGTAGCAGAAAAAATGTTGGCCTTAGGATCCAAGAATCAAAATGTTAGTCTTCCCATTTCCCTAAGAAGGCTGGTGTTTAGCAAGTAATTTTAGAAGGTTTTACATAGCTTAATCACGTATGTCCTTTATTTCTTTATTGGTAATTTGAGAAGATTAACCTATACCAGGAGTTTTCAGTGCAAATTCCTGGACTCCATCCCCTGTGAGTCTGATTCACTTGGTCTGGTTGGCTTCTAGGAATCTAAACTTTCATCAAGTTGCCTAAGTGATTCTAATGTCAGTGGCCCAGAGTTTGAAGAACGTTGGGTCAGATTATCTCTATAATTCTGTGACAGAGAATTATTGTGGTGACATTTAAATAGTGCTTAAATCTTATGACTTATCAGAGTACTTTTGTCTTAAACTTTTTGTAACTGTTTTGCTATAAGATATAGTCACAGCTTGTTCTGCTTTTTGGGACAAATTCAACTTTCCATGTGGAAGTTTTCATACTTGCCTATTCCAGCTTCACTTTGCAGTTTACTTTGGTGGTTTTGACTTTGTCGTCATTAGTAAATCAGCTGTTAAGAAAACATGAAAGTCTTGATGTTTCATTGGGATATCCTCTAATTTTCGTTTTTGAAGTTTTTTTTTTTTTTAACTTGAATTGATAGTTGGTTTATAATCCTGGAGTTGTATATGTTAGGGTTTGCTATTGAGAAGTATAGGAGTGTATTAACTCTGATAAATGAAGTGGGCTAATTAGTATTTCAGTTTAATTTTCTGCAATTGCATTTAAGTTTGTGATCAGTTCTTTTCTCCTCACTGTATAACTTTTTCCTGAAGATTTGTATAATTATTAGTGGTAAAAACTCCATCTTAGTTGCTTATGATTTTAATGTCAATTTGAGGAAGATATCACCATATAGAAAATACTTAGAAGTAGCTTATTTTAAAAATATTCATTTGCTTTTCTTCCAAACACGTGGTCACTTAGCAAGCAGTGATTCAATTATTCATAGTCCTCAGTATTTATGTAATGCCAAAGAAGTGGAAGAAGGGGAAGTGAAGTGAGAAAGGAAATTAGGCAGACAAGTGAATCAGAGGGCAAGAGAAATGAGTAATGCAAAAGGGGAAGGAAATGATGGTCAGAGCACACATGCCTTGCAGCATGAGCAAAGAAAATGTGCTAAACAAAACTACAGTCAGAATCATAGAAAGGATAAGGTTTTAGAGAGGTTTTGTTGTTTTTTAAACATTCATGTGAGCTAAATATAATGCAGGTATTGAAATGATTACTGCAGATATGCCAGATGACCTTGATATCTATTTTAATGTTAATCTTCTGTTATTTGTTGTTGTTGAATTGTTACCCCCACGTTTTACCTGTGTAAGTGAATTGAAATATTTCAAGGCCAGATACAGTGTCTTACGCATGTAATTTCAGCAGTTTGGAAGGATGATCACACGAACGGATGGATCACTTGAGCCCAAGAGTTCCAGACAAGCCTGGGCAACATAGTGAGACCCCATCTCTCTAAAAATAAAAAAAAAATTAGCCGAGCATGCTGATGTACACCTGTGGTCCCAACTACTTTGGAGACTGAGGTCAGAGGATCCCAGGAGGTCAAGGCTGCAGTAAGCCCTGATCACGCCACTGCACTCCAGCCTGGGCAACAGAGTGAGACCTTGCCTCAATAAAAACAAGACAAACAAAAAACCAGACATTTCAATAATACATGCATGGTGCTGTGTTACAAGTTGTAACATGAATAAAAATGTTTAGGATATCTTAAATATAAAAAATCAAGAAATATCTTCTTTTGGGGGGAAGGGGTTTTTGTAATGAGTCAATTAAAATGTTGGTGCTAAATCTTCCCTTGCTATATTGAAGTTTGCTGATTTCAATATAGATTTTCAGTGTTTCATAATGCCTTTTAAGAAAGATAATTGAGGTGGCCAGGCGCAGTGGCTCACGCCTGTAATCCCAACACTTTGGGAGACCAAGGTGGGTGGATCACGAGGTCAGGAAATAGAGACCATCCTGGCTAACATGGTGAAACCCAACTCTACTAAAAATACAAAAAATTAGCCGGGCGTGGTGGTGGGCACCTGTAGTCCCAGCTACTTGGGAGGCTGAGGCAGGAGAATGGTGTGAACCCAGGAGGCAGAGCTTGCAGTGAGCTGAGACTGCGCCACTGCACTCTGGCCTGGGCGACAGAGCAAGACTCCATCTCAAAAAAAAAAAAAAAAGATAATTGAAACATTTATATGGTGTATTAGGTTCTCTCAAAGGACAGAACTAATATGATATAATATATATATATGAAGGGGGTTTATTAAGTAGTATTAACTTATTAACTGACACAATCACAAGGTCCCACAACAGGCCATCTGCAAGCTGAGGAGCAAGGAAGCCAGTCTGAGTCCCAAAGCTGAAGAACCCGCTGTCTGAGGTACAAGAACAGGAAGCATCTAGCACAGGAGAAAGATGTAGGCTGGGAGGCTAAGCCAGTCTAACCTTTTCATGTTTTTCTGCCTGCTTTATATTCGCTGGCAGCTGATTAGATGGTGCCCACCCAGATTAAGGGTGGGTCTGCCTTCCCCAGCCCACTGACTCAAATGTTAATCTCTTTTAGCAACATCCTCACAGACACACCCAGGATCAATCCTTTGCATCCTTCAATCCAGTTAAGTTGACACTCAGTATTAACCATCTCATATAGTAATAACTAACATTTATTGATGACTACATGGTTATAATGTGCGAGGCACTGTGTCAAACTATTTACGTTATATTACTTCAGATTTGCAGTACCCACACAAGGCAGGTGTTATTATCTCTGTTTTCAGAGGAGTAAATTAAGGTACACAGCTGTTAAGTAACCTAAGTAATTGGCCTAATGTCACAGAGCTAGATAATGGCAAAGCAAGGATTCAAACCCAGGACTATCTAATTCTCTAAATACACCCCGTAGAACCTTAAATTATACCGCCTTTCTGCATAAGTTAGGAAGAGCTTGTCGACATTGAACCAAACCATCTTTGTTTGCAGAGGATAGAAGTTTTCCCTGGCAGAAAAGAGAAGAATCTCCTTTTTATTGTCTCCTGCTTGTAGCCCTGGACTTTGATGGTAGCCTGTAAGACTTTCAACTTTTGGTCTAGTTTATGACCTAGAAGTTAAAGAAGCAAGCCATTCAAAGTATATTTCATTCCTGTCCTGATTTTTCATCACTTTGCCTTCTCATAAAATATTTCCTCATGGAAAGCTTTTCTCTAGAGTTCACAAAATCAAAATAATACGAAAACATGTTATTTATTCAACATTTTGTCATGTGTCCTTCTTTAAAGATCCAGGAGTTTTTTCTTAAGGAGAAAATTTCTCGGCCAATATTTTTCACGTTTGTTTTCATCCCCTGTCTTACCACCGCTCCCGCCCCCCGATCCCCTGCCACCCAATTAAGAAATCAAAGGTTTTGAATGATCTTCAAGGATTTAACATACTTAGGTTTTTAAAAACATCTTGGTTAAGTAGCATTCAAGTTTTTTAAAACTATCTGTGAAAGAACAAAATGTCCGTTAGACTAGCAATTCTTTCCAAAGAATGATAATATTTTATATCATAAGTTAGTGATCTGTGGTCTACATGCTCCCTCCAATTTCTCCATAGAAAATTAGTACCACCCTCCTTCATTGATCTCAAAAACAACTTTAAATGCAATCATATCTTAGGGGATTTGACTCTACCGAGAGAATCAAGTGCAGACTCATTCCATGGTGTGGTATACTCTCAAGTCCCTTACTTGATTCTTTAGCTTCATCTTCTGACATTCATCACCTTATGTTTTGACGTCTAGTAATGCTGAATTTTCTGAGACCCCCCTGCAGGCACCATGCTATTCCATACCTCTGTGATGTTTATCATGAGGTTCTCTCTTCTTCGAATGCCCTTTCCATCTAGCTTACCCTTACTTATCCTTCAAGATACCACACCAGTGTCAATTTTTTTCTGGAAAACCTTCCTTGGATTTCTGGGTGCCCTTAGTATCCCTCCTGTGTTTTGGCAGAGGCCCCTGTGCACACCTTTGGCCTAGCACTCACATTATTAAATTGAAATTACCTGCCTAGGTGTGTGTCTCCCTTATTAGACTGTAAACTCCTTGGAGCTAAGATTGATCTTGCTCATTTTTGTCCTCCAAGCTCTTAGCACAGTGTCTGAACACCATAGGTGTTACACAAATGTTTGCACTAAACTGAACTTCCAGAAGAATATAAAATAGACTGTCAGAGTACTACTTTAGGTGAATGTAGTTTACCACGTTCGAGCATGATGCGACACTGCAGTATGGGTCAGTGTCTGGGGACCTGTCCTGTCTTGTGACTACTACCATATCCTTTGGCCCTTAGCAAGTGCTCAATAATTATTTGTTGAATTAAATTAATATACGTATTTTAATCCTTCTTGTACACATAAATTCCCCAGATCATTGGGCTGCTTACTACATTGAATGTTGAGAGGGTGACAGAGGTTGCAACTAACAATGGGTACACTAAATTCAACTCAGGCATGTTTGGTTTGTTTGATAAATTTTGAGCCAGTGTTTAATAGTGTTTCACATGAAGGACCAGATATCTGGTAATATGAATTTTCACTGCCACATGGCAGTGATTGACTGGAATTGAGTAGTGGCTGCTTCCTTTGGATGGTACACATTTCTGTGGTTTGTCACAGAGCCTACTCTTCTTCCTTTTTGAATCCCTGGCATGCAGGCTGCATGTCAACTCTGTTTATCACCATACATGCACTGTTTCTTTTTACTGAAGATAAATATTTTTCTGGAAAGGCAGAAGATCGTAATAATAAAGGACTTTAAAGGAAAAAACTGTTCCTTTTTCTCATAATGCTTCTGACACCAAATGTTTGGGTTTGTTTTCTCCTACACCTGGCCATTCTCTGTTTCTCTGTAGATACCAACTAGGTGTCCAGTGATTCAATTCAATTCTGACAC